>NC_000009.12:101856915-102008430 GCF_000001405.40 Homo sapiens | reverse complement strand
TCACTGGTGCTGGTGTTCTCTGGGGCCCAAGGCTTGTAGAGGGCCTCTTTGACTCAAGAGTTGCCCCTGAAAAACATCTAGATGGCTCTCTGCTCCAGTCTAGAAGGGTGGTGTGGGGGTGTCCTGGGGCCAGGTGAATTCTCCTGTTCCCAGTCTTAAACAGGTCTTTGTGGAGAGTGTGAATACCCAGGAGTCTCTCACTCACTCAACCTTTCCCATGTTGGAGAGGTTCTCCTGGCTTCATGCTGAGCCCAGAAAGGATGTTGTCCAGCTTCACTCCTCTCTGTTCTTTGTGTCCCCCTCCTTTCTTGATAGATCCTCACATGGTTTCTCATATAATTGGCCTGTAGGGTCAGTGCTCACCAGCCCTCTCATTTCCTCTTCATGACGGTGATGTATATAAGCTGCTTCCAGTCTGACACCTTTGTCCCAACATTTTGTATTCCTACTAATAATGCATGGGAGTTCCACTTGCTCTACAAACTTGCTTGCACTTGGAAGAGCCAGTATTTTCTTACCTTAGCCATTTTAATAGATATGTAGTATTATTTCATCATAATTTTATTTTGCATCTTGCTAATGGCTGATGATGGTGAAGTATTTTCATGGGCTTAATTGCCTTCTATATATCATCCTTTACAGAGGTGTCTGTTTAAGTCTTTTGCATATTTTTTAAATTTGGGTTATATGTTTTCTTACTGTTGAATTTTGTGTGGATATTTCATTTTATCTTATTTTGAATTTCATATGTCTCATATGTCTGTCTATTGTTATTGCAACCAATAGGTAGATAAGTTCTTAATATTGATGGTCCTAATGTAAGATGACCAGAAAACAGCTAAGAAAATGGAAACATGATACGCTGCAGTTAGCAGAAGATTAATATGTTTCAGGCTTTTCAATTGGTCCTAAAAAAAAAAAAAAACAAGAAAGCAAGAATACAATGTGTGTAATAAGGCAAATGAGGCAAATGTTCTCTTATTAATTCTCAAAAATTAATTGCCCATGGTAAGAAAAACAGAAAAAAAAATACATTCTATGAGCTTAATTTTGGCATGGGAAAGAAACATTTTAAGTCCATCAGTATAATATATTCTTTGATTTCAAATTTAGCCAGAAAAAAAAGTGCCTTATGCCAGAGGCTTACAACATTTAGTATGCAGATATCACAAGAAAAAAAGTTTTTAGATATATAGGGGTTGCAGAAAGATCTTAACTCTTTACATAAAAAATTGCAAAGCTTTTTATTATAAACTGACAATTTATAATTGTATAAATGTACGGGGTATGAAGTAATGTTATAATTTATGAGTACAATGTGGAACAGTTAAATCAAACTAGTTAATATATCTGTTAGCTGAAATACTTATATTCTGTGATCTCAAGAATGCTATATATGACTAAAGCTGGGCTGCTGCACAAGCCAGGTGTGGCCTGGATGGGCCATGTGAGCAGGCCACCTCTTGTGGCAGGAAACATGCCCAAGCAAGGCCCAGGTGGGGGTGTTGTCAGCTAGGGGTTCTCAGTAGGCAAAGTGACTGAGAATAATTCTGTGTCAAAAATATATACAAACTCTGCATCTGATAAGGGGTTAATATCTAAAATATATAAGAAACTCAAACAACTCAATAGCAAATAAACATAACCTGGTTAAAAGATGGGCAAAAGACCTGTATGCACAGCTCTCAAAAGAAAGACATACGAGTGACCAAGAGGTACATTTAAAACAAAAGCTCAACATCATTGACCATCACAGGGAAATGAAAATTAAAACCACAATGACTTATCACCTCATATCTGTTAGAATGGCTGTTTCAAAACACTAAAAGATGACAAGTGTTGATGATGTGAAGAAAAGGGAACTTTTGCACACTGTTGGTGGGAACATAAACTGGTACACCCATTATAGAAACAATGCAGAAGTTCCTCAAAAACATAAAAGTAGAATTATCATAGGATCCAGCAATTCCACTATTGGGTATATACCTAAAGAAAATGAAATCAGTAAGTTGCAGAGATACCTGCATTCCCATATTTACTGCAGCACTATTCACAATAGCCAAGACATAGAATCAACCTAGTATCCATCAACAGATGAATGGATAAAGAAAATATGGAATGTATACAGAATGAAATATTATTAAGTTATTAAGGAAAAGGATATGCTCTACTTTGTGACTACATAGAAGAACTGGAGGACGTTATGTTAAGTGAAATACACCAAACCAGGCACAGAAAGACAAATACCACAAAATCTCAATTATACATGGAATCTAAAAAAGTTGATCTCATGGAAGAGTAGAATAGTGATTACCAGGAATGGCTGGAGATGGAGGAGGTTAGAGGGATGTTTGTCAAAGAATATAAAATTTCAGTTAAATAAGAGAAATAAGTTCAAGAAATGTATTGTAAAACAGGTTGACTATAGTTAACAATATATTGTTCTTGGAAAATGCTGAGTGGTTTTAAAGTGTTCTCACCACGAAAATGATAATTATGTGAGGTAATGCATATGTTAATTAGCTACATTTAGTCATTCTACGGTATATACATATACCTCAAAACATCATGTTATATGCAGTAAATACATACAATTTTACCTGTCATTTAAAAAATGAGCAGTAAATAAAATTAAATCTCAGAAATGTTCAGAATTTAGGAAAGAATTAGAAATAAAAAGAAAAATAACTCATAAAATGACTTCAAAAGGAAGAATGCAAAATTGAATAAATACACTTTTATTTAAGAAAAAAAGTCTAAGGTGAAAAACAGGACTTTTTTCAATTTGCAAAGAAAAACAGAAATGGCTTGAGAAAGAATGGTAAATATTTAAGAGTCCCTAAAGATGAAAGCCAATTCAATGCAAAGAAATGGCAAAAGATAAAAACTATCATTCCAGAAGTTTTCTAAAATAAAAAATGATTTTATAAGCATACCATGTACTTAAGAATATCAGCAAGACATATTCCAGTACAATTCCTAGACTTAAAAGACAAACGAACAAAAATCTTTGGTTATCTAGGAAAAAAGAGAGTGCACGACATATTAGAGCCTCACATTATCATCTGATTTTTCAGTACTACGATTTATGGCAAAATAAAATGGAAATGCTGACTGAAGAAAAGGCTGAAGAAAAGAAAATGTAAGCAAGATTTATATCCAGCAAAACTAACTTAACAAGCAAAGAATAATTATTTTTCTCACAAGAACTTCCTGAGGAATCTATTTGAGAAAGAACTTCAGATAACCAAAATGATTAGACAGACACTGAAATAAGCACTGATGTTGATTATCAAATACATAATTTCTTTCTGAACTAAGACTAAATATAGGCAAAATATACAGTGGATGATAACCTTAAAAACTGGCAAACAAGATAAATAATCCTGCTTTTCTTATAGGAATAGTATTACTTGGTAACCAAATAGTAGATAAGGTAAATCATGTATTTATAATTGTTTTTCAATTACTAAATTTAGAAAGAATTTATATAATTAGAATGTGACTAAATTACAACTCCAAATAATTAACAGTTCTAAGAGTAATCACCAATAGTTTTAGAATCATAAAACGTGGAACTACTTGACCTATTAATGAAAGAACACACTACTTCCTTTAGTCTTGCCAAAGGGATCAGACATGAACTTGATATGCTTCTGGGCCTGTTAGTTTGCAGGAAATACAGAGGGCAGAATAACAAGTAGAAGTGCACCAAGAATATTCATTCCACAAAATCCAAACCACGGAAAACTCTGCAGGTCAAAATGTTTTGGGGTCTTCAATATGTTTTTTTTTAAAAAAAAACAAATGCAAGACACCAGAGAAACTTATAGATTGCAAGAGACTTAAAAGATATGGAAATGGCTTTGTATTTTTATTTATATTAATTAACAAGACTGAACTAGCATCTGGGAATGAACACTTGGGTTATAAAATCAATAAAGACACAAAGAAGTGATTGCTACAAAATCCAAAATAGTTGCTATTTATGAAAATTGAGGGGTATGATTGGGATGGAGCACAAGGAGGCTTCCTGGGGTGCCCCTTTATAACGGTCTTCAACTTAAAATAACTGATTCCATTATACATGTTCTGTGTGGTATTTCCATATTTGCAATTTAGTATAAAATTAAAAAGCATAATCAAACTAATTTAAAATTGACCTAATCTTTTACTATATGATCGTATGTGTTATCACACCAAATCCCTATTATACATTTACATTATTTCTACTTTTTGCTATATAATGTTGTAATAAACAAAATTTAGTTAAATCTTTGTGTACAACCTTAACATTGTCTTTAGAATAAATCCTAGAAAGGTAAATGCTAGATCAGATGGTGTGTAGAGTTTATGGCTTTTGATATACGTAGCCAAAATATCCTTCAGACAAATGGTAAACTCTTATTTTACAGGCCACCACATCCTCTCACCTCACCTGCTATCTTGATTATATTTCTGCAAGTTTGATTCTTAAAACATTCTCATTTTAAAACATTAAAAACATTACTGAGTTTCAGTTACATGGATAGAAATGCCCATTTATGAAAAAGCAGCTTGGGATAAATCCAATAATACATGTTAGGTGCATTCAGTTGTGTTATTACTGCTATTTGTATTAATTCAGAGTGTAACAAGAACTTCAACAATGATATATACAAGAAAATCATTCAATCTATTTTAATTTCAAACACTAAGAATAAAATGTACTATCTGCTATTTACGTCAATTGCAACTATTATGCTAAATGGACCAACATAAGAGACAAAGTAACCATAATTCATATTTTAATAGACTTGTCTCTACAATGTCAAAATGGCATTATGTGAATGCATTGCTCCAGGAAAATAGGGAATGAGAGAAACAGCTTTTTTTCATTGTTCCTGGAGCATAATACCCATATTGCTGGCAACTGTTTGTCTAAATGGTTTTAAAATCAACACTAAATTTTTATGGGTCAGGGGCAATTTTGCCTTTCAATACTCTTAGAAACTAAATTTTACTTTGTAATAGGACTGCAAGTTAGAAGCACACTAGAAATTAACCCTTTAAATACCAGTGTGTGTTGGGGGAGGGTGGTGTATGTGTGTCTGTTTCTGCCCATAAACTTCAGGCAGAAGGGCTCTGACAGTTGTATTACTATTGCTTCAGTTGGATTCTAATCCATCCACAGGGCAACACCTCCACCTTTACCATGTCCTGCTCTTCCTCTTCAGCATGAGCGTGTTTGGTTGATGTTGCTTTGTCTCCTGCCAAGTTCAGCCATGCACACTAGGCAGTACCACTATTCTGGCCACAGATATCTCTTCTGATCAGTAACTCTAATTTTGCTAAACACACTACTAATATTGCTGCTGAGTACCACTCTCTGCCACGTCAAGATGTCTCTGCTTGATACCATGGTTGTCTTCTGTAAGGCACTGTTGCCATACATGTACTTCTTGCAACACTGAAATTGCCTGGTGCTCTGTAAATTGTGGCGAAATGGGTAAGAACATCTCTTTCTATTTGTATCACAGTTCTTAAGAAGGTTACTGACACCATTCTGCTCATACTTACTCTTTTATTGAGTTTTTTTATATAACAGACTTTCTAGCTTGTACCTGCATGCCTTTATTCTTCTAATGTACGGCCACTGTTGGAAAGTGAAGAGTAGATGCAGTGACCCCACCAGAGTTGACTCAGAATCTCTCTTCTCCAAATCACCAAATTCATTGAGGCACACTATAAAATGAATTATCTCCCAAGTGGGTTATCAATGTTGCATATAAATAAGCATCTTTTGGCTTCTTACCAATTATTCAGACATGTACAGATAGGCCTGATCCGCAGAAATGAACATGGTATAGCCTCAAGCTGAGACTTCTGCTACAAGTTATTAATAATTTAGCAACAGCTAGAGTAGGGTAAGGAATGGATTAACTGAATTTAGCTGAGCCACCTTTCTCTTCACCCACCAGTCAAGCTCTCCTTTCCACCATGTTGTCTTGGCCCTGTGCAAATCCCTCTCCAGGTTCAGACTAGATCTGACATTTTCACACTTAGTGATTGTAGAGAGCTTGCTCCAGCCTCTGGAGAAGAATTAAAATAACTATTACCAGTTTGAACAAATAACCAAATGAATAAAATAATTTTTTTCATGCTATTTTAGCAACTCTGGAAAATTTGCTACCTACCAATACCTCCAAGACATGTTGACTTTTTCTCATTTACCTGTTCATTTTAGTTAATAGCCAGTTACTAATTAGAAAGTATATTATATATTTTCCTGACTCCTTTCTATCTTTAAATCTGAAAGGCAAGAACTGGGACAAATAGCTATTAAATTTAGAAAAATAAGTTATCCCTTGGTTACATGGTTTCAAGTTGCCGTATGTGTCATTAGCGTTTTCCTATCAGGAAATTCCAAGTCTCTGTAAGACTCTCCCTCTTATCCCCTTCTCTATTTCTAATCCCACTCTTCCTCTCTGTTCCTTTGCTGCTTATAAATTTTAAGTATATTTTGGCAGATCTCTCTCCCAACTATTTTGAATACTTTTACTTGGATCCAGTTTTTTCAACAAATGATTATTATCAGCAATCTTCTAAAGGCTTACTCTTCTTATACACTAAATTTAAATCATAAGCAAACCTAGTTTTGAATAAGTAAATAGCTTTCTCCATCAGGAAATATTAATCATTACTCTTTTGTTTTAAGGTATTAGAAAACCCAATTCCGGCCAGGTGCGGTGGCTCATGCCTGCAATCCCAGCACTTTGGGAGGCCAAGGTGGGTGGATCATTTGAATTCTGGAGTTCGAGACCAGCCTGAGCAACATGGCGAAACCTCAACTCTACTAAAAATATACAAATTAGGCAGGCATGGCGGTAGGCGCCTGTAGTCTCAGCTATCAGGAGGCTGAGGCAGGAGAATCACTTGAACCTGAGAGGCGGAGGTGCAGTGAGCCAAGATCGTGCCACCGCACTCCAGCCTGGGCAACAGAGCCAGACTCTGTCTCCAAAAAAGAAAAGAAAAGAAAAGGAGAGGAGAAGAGAGGGGAGGGGAGGGGAAAAAGGAAAACCCAATTCAAATTGAGTTAATAATGATGGAGAGGGAGTAAGAGAGAGGGATTGAGATTATTGCCTCATATCTCTGGAAAGTCAAGGTTTTATCAGTGAATGAAATGGCTGGATTCAGGAGCTAAAATTCTTCGCTCTGTTTTCTTCATGGTGGCTTCATTTATGGGTAGTTTTTTTTTTTTTTTCTTACAGCAAGATGACTGCCAGATGTTCCAGGCTTTTATCCAATCCTCCTGGAAGCTTCTATGGAAAGCATGTGTTCCCTTCATTAATATTCTAACAATTGGCTAAGAATTGAGTCTCATCACTCTAACTGATAACAGGACCATCACTGTAACCATAAAAGTATAATAACCTAATGGGCAGAGACTGATTCATGTGTCTACCTAGGAAGGGGTAATTCTTCCAAGAATATCAGAATGTTGTTACCAAAAGAGAGAGATCAATGCTAGGTGACAAAAACAACATATATTCACTGTAGAATATACTTGGTATCTCCATGTGACTGCTTCATGGGGGAAGGAAATGAATGGTAAAATATATAATTAGGCTGCATGGCAGTACTCTTCACCATCTATAACGATTAATTCATGAATAATCAGCCTAGTCAAAGAAATCTGCTGACCAGTGTTTAATAATAGTGCTGTTATACAGGTAAGCAGAATTAGTTCTTGAAATGCCCTTCTCACTCTATGGTATCCTGGTTCATTTCTGATCATCCTGTTACTGGCTTTCTTTCACTGTTGGCACATTTGCTACCAATTATTGGGGCAAAACCCAGTGACTTCATTCTTCTCTTTTGCTCAAGTTATTGAACCTGTGTTTTCTCCCCATATTCCAACGTGTATTATCTCTCGTGATACAGCATGCTCTTGAGCTAATCACTTATTTAAGAACTAATATCTAGTCATGGCACCAGCTTCTCATAGATGAATACTGATCTTACAATCATCCCTACTGGTAAGTGGCCCATTCATTTTTATACACCATTCTACTGATGGGGAAACATTAGGCACTTGTGTTAAAGTATCTAGAGTAATTTCTTGGCCAAGAGGACTGAAGTTTAACTCTGGTAGGGGGAGGTAGAGGTCCCAGTTCTGTAACTTATCAAAAAGTCAAGCATTTCTCATTTATCCTTTTACACTTTTGTAGGCAATCCAATCCTAAAGCATGCCTATCATGTGGATAAATATCTATGTCGAATAAGTGGTCTAGGGCAATAATTGTCATTTGGGAACTAGGGGCTTGGCAATGGGTGATGTGTCTGAATTATAGGAAGAGTTCCCCTCCACACCACAATCCTCATATCAAGGTTGTAAGACCCTGATATTGAGCAGTGTTACCCAAACATGAAATATTTATCTGGAGCATATTCCAAAATCCAATTTCTATACTCCAGCCAAAATATAATCAATCAAAATCTCTGAGTGAGAGGCCCAGATACTGGTATTTTTAAAAGCTCCCTAGATGATTCTGAAGATCAGCCAGGTTTGGGAATTACTAGGATATAGCATCTGGTCTCAAAGCAAAAAGAGAATTAGAACTCAGCAAGCATATGCTTCAATTGTACAGGCAGTTGCTTATCACCCCTTTGCTTGCTTTGAATCAAAAATAACTCAAGCGTTTCTTTATTTGGGGTTTGAGCAGAATGCATCAGCAGAGCACCCACCCTGCAGAAACAACACATTCAAAGGTCCTTCATGGTTGGATAAACTTTAATAGGAAAGCTGTTCTCCATGCAGGTGACCAGCTGGGTAAACCTGCCACCACACCACTTTACCAATTATCACCATGGCCTATTTAAAAAGTCAGGGCAGGTCAGTTTCCCACTTGAATGAGGCAGTAAAATTCCTCATGCTGTGTGTATTAATTCCACTTAGGTGTTCTTGGTTATATACAAAAGCCAAGATAATTTAAAAAAAAGGATAGCCCATTCAATATAAAAAAAAATTCAAGCAAATCAGGCTCCTTATGTGATGTGGATTAAGCCACTGGCGTATATTTTTATTTTTCCCATTTTTGTTTTAGTTATGCACAGTCTCTGAGACATAAAAACATTTTTTATAACTTGAAAAATTCCTGAAGTGAACATATATAAATGTGCATTTAATGAAGTAATAATTAAAATTTAATTTATACATAAAAAGATATTTCTGTGTGTATTTGCAAAGTGTATGTATACAGTGAAGCATATAAGGCCTCTCACCACCTGGGGTTGTTCCTGGGGTTGTTCCTTATTGCCTCTCTGGCCACTTGACTTGGTCCTATGGCAGCTTCAGCACTTACAGACAGTCTTTAGCCACTGAGATCTATTCCAGCTCTGCCCTACTCCACCTACAATTCAGACTTAGCTGCTGGCAATTTTTTCAACAAGCTTCTGAAGCCTCAGTTTTCATCAACACTGAAACTCTTATTTAGAGATATGTTTAAAACAGCAAGGCAATTAAGAGCCCAATTCTTTACATCTCTATCAACTATAATAACCTCCCAAACTATAATAATCTCCTCTATTCTTATCCCCACTCTGCTCAATGCTATCCATCCTTTATTCTGTGCACTGTGGAATCCTAGCTCCTCTCTAAATTATTTATTCCTTTGTTGGCCTTAACTAAAACCAGGCTTTCTCTGGAAAACTCAGCTTACCCAGGAGGTATCTCCAATAAAACCATTCTCTCACTGTCCATGGACCTCCAAATCAGAAAATGAAATAGAGTTCCCCTCATCCTCTAGAACTGTTTCTATGATTCTTCTTCTACTCTCCTTTAAATCTAAGATTTTTATAGTTCCATTGAGCAATACTGGTCCCTTCTTATTTCTGATATTTACAAACTTGTGGTCATTCCTCCATATTCTTTAAACACTTATATACAATGATTCATTCCATGTATCCATCTTAATTCTGCCATCAACATGAGTGATTTCAAAGCCCATAAGAACATACACTGACTTGATAATTGTTTGACCTCAACTCTAATGGTCTCCATTCAAGCCCCTCTTCAGTTTGGTCATCTATTCCTGGCATCAACTAAAATGGTTCTATCTTTGTAATACTGACCTTTAATAATTATTTGAATTTCTTTGAATCTTTTGGTGCTTTGTCCATCCTGTCACTTTCACTCTTAAACTGTGACTTCATTGAAATTTCTACTTCATTGTTCCTATTATCTTTCACCTTTATATTATGTCTATCATGGGACACCTTTCATAATTAATCTAGATTTGATGCTTGATATTCTGAAAAAAAATTTATAAACTTGGATACTCTTATACTCTTTTGCATCAGTCTAGCAAAACCCCAACACTGAAATAATTCTGAAGCCTACCTCCTCCAATTGTAATACTTAGTAAAGATGAAAAAATACACATCTATGAAGGCTTGTGTCATTACAAATTCATGGTGACCAACCTCTAGCTGAGCACTCAGAAATGCCCTGTAATCATTTATTTTTTACTTGTTCATCAGTGTATCCTACAAACTGCAATTCTATTCCAAGACTTTACAACTCTATTCAAGCCCCTTACTCAACAAAAGGAGACCCTTTCTCAACAGTAATATGGTTTCTGCCTTTATGAAAAGACATAGTTGACAAGTATAACCTATAGCAATATTCTATCTCCAAAACCTCAAATGTATTTTGATACTCAATCATTACATAGTTTCCTTTCTTGGAAGAAGAGGTATCTATTCCCATTTATTAAAGTAATCACTTAATCATTGCCTTTTACCTCATTTCACCTGCTTCCCCTAGGATTGGTATCTATTGATATTCTCTTCTCTTTTAAATAATTAATTCATTTTACCCTATATGAATGTTCAATGGTTTTACATTAAAAAGTAAAAACATAATCCCTCATTTGATCTTGCTTTTATTTATGTCAAACTTTCTTGACTGGATAAGCCTCCTGAACCACTCACCTTTCACCCAGGATAAAGGCTTCTTGCCACTAAGTCCTCAGCATCATAAGAAGGTTGAGCTTTCCTACCTACTTTGTATTTCTGATTGACTTCTGCAAATATTTTCTTAGGTTCTGGCTCTTAAACTTTGCCTGTTTTCTTAAACTTAATATTTCACATATCCCAAATTGATAAGTTGAGCTTTGGGTTTTATAATCCACATATTCTGCACAAATAAATTAGTGCTTTTGCTTCGCAGTTGCAACTCTATTGTCTGCAACCTAAGACTCAGAATCCCAGGACCCACATTCATGCTAAAGGATAGAGCATATATTACAATCCATTCTTGTATATTACTATCTTATGAAAATTTTTGCTTTTACCACATTATCACTTTCATTTTTTTCAACCTAGAGCAGTCTGGTCTTATTCCCCATGCTCAAGAAAAACTGTCCCCAGTGATCTATCTAACTGTCAAAACCAATGTGGTCCTAACTTATTAGGCTTACTAGGGTGAATCACATAAAATTGTCATTTTTATAGTTTAAAATATTTGAATATTGTCATTTGACCTTGCTGATCATACCTTCTTTCTTGAAACTCCCTTAGTCACAGTGAAAATACCCTCTACTTCTCCTTTTATTTTTCCCTTATTTTCTTATGACTCCTTTATGGCCTAAACTTGCTCAGCCTTCTTCTAAGCTCACTCTAAATAGTATCCCTTGATGATCTCATGAAACCATGTTTCCAACTGCTACATAAATGTTGAAGAATAAAGAATATTTGTATATTTCCCTATCTATCTATCTATCTATCTATCTATCTCTCTCTCTCTCTCTCTCTCTCTATCACCTCTCTCTCTCTCTCTAATCTACCCACCTTTCTCCAGAAGTCACAACTTCCTCACAAATTGTAGTCTAGGAATCTCTCTCTAATGCCCCAAAGGCATATCAACATCAAATGTCTAAAAATAAATTCATTATCTTACCAACAAACTATTCTCCCTCTGAAACTTAGCTTATTTGGTGGCACTATCATCCCACATGACACAATAAACATGAGCCATCTTTTACTTCGTCACTCCCTAATTTTAATTAGACACTAAATATTGCCAACATTGCTTCAGTACTTTTTAATAACTAATACTATTTTTGTCTGAACTAGAGAGGGTAAATTAGAAATGGGTAGGAAGAACAGACTTCTTTTCCATTTCTAATTACTCTCCATTTTCTAAGACTCTATTTCCTTAATGTGCTACTATAATCAATCAGTCAATATTTTCAAAAGAATTATATAGCCCATAATTTCATAATTATAGTCTTAAAATTCAACTTAAGTTTATCTATAGTATATTTTTAAAGCAATGAAAGTACATAAAACATTTTAGAAAGATTCACATCAAGAAGTTGTAATTCATTTCTAAAGAGCTTTTGGCCTATTAAAGATTAGTTTTACAATGCCTGAACAACTTACCCAAGTTAGGGTTGTCAGTTCAGCAAATAAAAAACAGAACTACCAGTTAATTTTAAATTTCAACTAACAGTATTTTTAGTACAATTATGTCACATGTGGTATTTTTAATATACATTACAAAATCCACTGTTTATTTGAAATTCAGATTTAACTGGGCATCCTGGTTTTATCTGACAACTCTAACCCAAGTGAAAGCTTTCACTGTCATGATAGCTAATTTATGCATCTCTAATGTGGTATCTATAAATTAGGGAAATAAATCTAAGTATACAAACTCAACGTCTATGAAATATATTTCTTTGTAATAAATCTTAATTTCTGCAATGATATTTTCTTAGTGCAGGCAGAATAATTAATTTAAGTCAATTTAGGGTTTTCTCCACTTCCCTCAGTTGCATTAAAGTTCTGGGGTTTGATATAATGCAAAGACACGGTAAGGAGGTCATCTGAGCTAGGTCATCGTTGACTCATGCCTACATCTGTTGAGAGCTCCCTATTCCATGTCTAGACTATACTCATGAGTCACACTGATCACCATTTGTAGGCGGATTAGTTTGTGTCTAACTCTCCAGTCAATTCTTTGTCCTTCTTGTGCATAGGGTATCATTTTTCTATTCCTATGCCAAGGTTGATTCATAGAAAACTCAGAAAGACTAGCTATTTCGTTCCACTCTCAAGAACATGGAATTTATTACACTACTTCCACGCTGAGACCCAGGAGAGCTCTATGTGGCTGGCTCAGACCATTGCTTAGACATTCCATACAGCCATTATTAATCTAGGTCTTGCTATCTTCCTGTACTTTTCTTAGAAAGGGGCACAGGTTCTCTCAGCATTTAGGAACCTCTAAACCCACCTGAGTTTCTGTTGTCCCTCTTCCCCCAGGTTCATCCCAGAGTTACAAAAGCAGAGTCCTCTTATCCATATCCTTACATCTTTTCCTCGTTTATTTCCCCATCCTTTAGAAATGCAGTTTAGTCTCAAGTTCAGTTGGGGGATAATCTGGAAACGTTTCCCTCACTTATCAAATACTCTTTCAAATGTATAGTTTATGCCGTGAGTACATCCAGGTTCCTGAGACCAAGACTTTTATATCTAATTTTCCTGTGCTTTCTGAAATTTTAATTATTCTCTGAGAAAACAAGTTTGAATGCAAAGCTAAAAGAATATAAAATATTTATAGGACAAAGAGTATGCAGATAGAGAGAAAGGGAAACAGGACTACATAGCTATATGGATAATATATACATACATATGTAAATATGTCATTTTAAAAACATATAAATGGGTATATCCATACATACACCCATAGAATGGTGTATATATGATGTATATAATGATCTACCTATATATATATATATGTGTGTGTATATGTAATGATTTTGTGTGTGCATGTGTGTAATGATTCTAAAGTAAACCCTCACATTTTTGGGTTTTCTTTCAATCAGAGGATAGCATTTGGTTGACTGCATTTTTCTACTTCCAAAGATTTGGAATGCCATGCTCTTGGTGTCTTAATTCTATTAGAACATGATATAGAGAGTCTGCCTTATTACTGTGTTCACTGAAGTGGGTAAATTCACCCCAGAGTCATCATAACAGGTCCATGAGTAGTTAACACTCAAGAAAGCACAATTTACTTAACTGCAATAGATAGTAAGCAGTTATATGCAGCTGGTACCATGGGACTATAATATACAAAAATACAAACATGAATACCACAAGAAGAGATTTAAATGACCATGTTTTGTTTTCTCCCATCATATGTTCATCTTCTAACCAACTGAAAATGGAAGAGAATTGCTATTTCTGAATTGCATCTAGTTAATATGCATTATTGTCACTCCTATATTTTTCTGTTGCTGGAGTACAGTTCAAACAAAATTGAGCTGGTATGTTGGATGCTTGCCTCACAGAACTATTTATGTTAGAAAGTCACAAAATCCCCTGGACTGCCATCTGCACTTTGCAACAACTCTTTCTAATTTCCTTTTGCTTGCTCCAAATTTCTTGTGGTAGTCTATTTTTTGTCCCCAAAGTAACTTCTATTAGAATGTATTGGCATCCAGCCCGCTGCAAGTAATGTTTCAGTTCCCTAAGTGGTGGAAAAACATTTTCTCTAGGTTACATGCAGTGTTATTACTACCATCATATTTAGCTTTTGTTCTAATCTTTGAGTTTATAATAAACATTTTGTTCTAGGATATGTGTAAGAAAAATAATAAAGTAGGAATATTGGGGCACTGGGAACAACAGTGAGAGATGGTGAAGACTAGGGAAGCTCCAGTACTTTTTTAAATAGCTAAAATATTTGATAAATCAATGACTAGCTTTATCATATCCTTGACTCAATTTCATACCCTGCTATTTTTAATGTAATTTTGAGTAGGATAATAACTGTATGGCTACATTCTCTTTAAATGATGTGTAGCATATAATTTATAGATATTATACATATAAATTTATACATATTTATCTAGTGAATTATTTAGTGGGCAGAAGATAAAGCATGCTTTGGTAAAATAAAAGCTTTCATCATCACTCTTAATATGAGCCAAAACAAGCACTGGCAATCAGAGCATATGGTATAATCTCAATAAGGAGCGACAACTACAACCTTAACTAACAAAAAACCTTCAGAATATTAATGGTTTACACACTCGTTTTCCCATCAAAACTTATAGGCCTGGAGAGAAAAATCAATCAAAAGCAAAAGCTACCTAATATTAATTATTTCATTTTTAATTTGATTTATTTCATGTCAACATATGCGTGTATATGTAGTTGAGTAGCAATTTATAAGTAAATTGATATTAAGCACATGTTGGCACACATATACATGCACACACATGCATGAACTTAAATTCACTCTTTAGTTTTGTATTGTGAACATATAAAGTCAAAGATTCATAGGATAGGAACCAGAAAGGTAAACTGGGTATGGGTGGGGAAGAAAAAAAAAAGCATATTACAGATAGAAATGTAGACTGAAAGAAAATGAGAAATATGCCCTTCTATAGTAAACTTGTAACAGACACATACACACACACACACGTACAATACACCCTTGTGGGAGTAGGTATGTAAGAGAAAGATGTTATAAGTCTGATTTGGAGGAAATACCTTTAAAAGGCAATAAGAAGAGAAATATTAAACTCCCTAAGAGTAAGGAGAAAAGAACAAATCAGGTTTCCCTCTCCCTCAGCTAAATTAGTAAGAGTTCAGCAATGAGAAATCACAGGTTGAGTGAACAGGTTAAGTGGCTGGTGATAATCACATGGTCTGTGGATTGTTAGAAATGTGTAAAGACACCAGTGTGGCTGAAGTGATTCTGTTTGAAAAGATTTTATACACAGCCCCAAAATGTGCACAACGACTAGTTCTGGCAAATAAGCAATCAACATACCATATTGAAGATGTGGCCAGAACTGGTCTTGAAACCTTTTCCAGTTAGGGTTTTCAGTGGAATTTCAGGAAAGAGGCAGGACTCATACATGAATTGTAAAGCTGAATGCCTCCTCACAACCCATTCCCATCATTCAGCTTATACCAGGCTTATATATTTGGAATCAAGGTGTATTCATTTTCTATTGCTACTGTCAAAATTACTACAAAAGGCATGGCCTAAAACAATGCAAATTTATTGCTCTATCATTCTGTAGGTAAAAAGTCCATTGTGATCTCACTGAGCTAAAATCAAGATGTCAGCAGATCTGCATTCCTTTCTGTAGGCTCTAAAAGTAAATTCATTTCCTCCTTTTTCTACTTCTAGAGGATCTGTATAATCTTTGGCCCTATTGTTCACCTCCCTTTCCTTTGTCTTTAAAGCCAGCAATCTCCATCTCCCTGACCCTTCTTCAGTGGTCCCCTCTCTGATCACAGCCTGGAAAGGCTCTCTACTCTTAAAGATGAATAGGATTAGATTGGTTCCAACTGGATAATCCAGAATAATCTCCATAACTAAAGGTTCTTAATCTTAATTACATCTGTAAAATTCCTTTGCCATGTAAGGTAAGATTATCACAGTTTCCAGTGATAAAAATGTGAACATCATTGGGGGCTATTATTCTTGCTATAACACAAGAATATGGAGTATCAATATAAATGATGCAAATGGGCTTTCAGAGACAAGTGTGAGAAAAAATGTTCAAGGCACAGTAGCACACCTATGCAGAGTTTAACATAGCCATTGCTGATTGTCAGCCTTCCTATATCTGTGTGATAAAAGATAGGAAATGTTGGCATTTAAGATATTTCTAGAAATGCTGGAGGAAAGTATAATCACATGAAACTAATTACCCATATAAATTCATTAAAATATTTGCACTGAAACAGATACTACACAAAGCAAGAGAAAAGGAGAATTACTTTCAAATACCTACTTGCAGAGATCCAAGAAAGTAAGATTAACTCAATTCATATTCCAGAGCCTCACATATACCTACATACATACCTACAGAGAGACACAAAACTTACCACTCTTTTTTCATATGACATATTTAGGATATATATTTATTTGTAAAATTATTTTTAATTGACAAATAACTGGGTATACTTACAGGTAAAATGTGATGCTTTGATCTATAAATACATTGTAGAAAGGTTCAATCCAGCTAATTAACATATCTGTCATCTCACCAATTCATTGTTTTTCGTGGTGAGAACATTAAAAATTTTTAGCAGTTTTGGCCAGGTGTGGTGGCTCGGGTCTGTAATCCCAGCACTTCAGGAGGCTCAAGCATGTGAATGGCTTGAGGTCAGGAGTTCGAGAACAGCCTGACCAACATGGTGAAACCCCCTCTCTACTAAAAATACAAAAATTAGCCTGGCGTGGTGGCAGGTGCCTGTAATCCCAGCTACTGGGGAGGCTGAGGCAGGAGAATCACTTGAACCTGGGAGGTGGAAGTTGTGGCGAGCCAAGATCATGCCACTGCACTCCAGCCTGGGTGACAGAGCCAGACTTCATATCAAAAACGAAAACAAAAACAAAAACAAAATAGCAATTTTGAGATATACATTATTGTTAACTGTGGATACCATGCAGTGTGATAGATTACAAAACTTATTGCTCCAGTCTATCTAAGATTTTGTACCCTTTAATCAACTTACCTTATCTCATTTCTTCCCTTGTCTCGCAGCCTCTGACAACCACCTTTCTATTTTCTGTTTCTATAAGATCAATTTTTTTATATTCCACATATAAGTGAGATCCTACAATATTTTTGTCTTTCTGTGCCCAGATTTCACTTAGCATAATATTCTCCAGTTCCATCTATGTTGTCACAAGTGACAGAATTTTCTTCTTTTTTAGGCTAAATAGTATTCCATTGTGTCTGTACAGACAACATTTTCTTCCTCCATTCATCTGTTGATGGACACTTAGGCTGCTTTCACTCCTTTGCTATTGTGAATAATGCTGCAATGAACGTGGGAGTACAGACCGCTCTTCATCATACTGATTTCAATGCCCTTAAATATAAGCTCAAAAGTATGATTACTGGCTTATATGATAATTCTATTTTTTGTTTTTAAGGACACTCCATACTATTTACTGAAATGGCTGTACTAATTTACAGTCCCATCAACAGCATACAAAGATTTTCTTTTCTCCACATCCTCACCAACACTTTTTACCTTTTGTCTTTTTGATAATAGCCGTTTTTAAACGTGTATGGCAGTATCTCATTGCAGTTTTAATTTGCATTTTCATGATGATTAGAGATGTTGAGCATTTTGTCATATATCTGTCGGCCATTTGTATTTCTTCTTTTGAGAAATGTCTATTCAGGTCTTTTGCTTATTTTATAATTGGTTTATTATTTTGTTGCTATTGAGTTGCTTGAGTTCCTTATATATTTTGGATATTAGCCCCTTGTTAGATGTATGGGTTGTAAATATTTTCTCCCAATCTGTGTATTATCTCTTTATTCTGTTAATTGTTTCCTTTACTGTGCAGAAGCTTTTTAGTTTGATATATTATAAAGCTATTGTAATCAAAACAGCATGGAACTGCCATGAAAACAGACATATTGATCAGTGGAACAGGACAGAAAGTCCAGAATGCAAGTATTGGTCAACTGACCTTTGACAAGAATGATAAAACACAAAATGGGGAAAGGACAGTCTTTTAAACAAATGAAGCTGGTAAACTAGATATCCATGGTAGTTTAATAGGAATAACATTGACCTAAAAATTGCTTTGGCAGTATGGCCATTTTAACAATTTTGATTGTTCCTACCCATGAGCACGGAATGTTTTTCCATTTGTTTTTGTCATCTCTGATTTCTTTGAGAAGTGTTTTGTAGTTCTCTTTGTAGAGATCTTTATATTCCTAGATATTTTATTATTTTTGTGGCAATTGTGAATGGGATTGCATTTCTGATGTGGCTCTTGGTTTGAGTCTTGTTGTATAGAAGTGTAAGTGACTTTTGCACATTGATTTTGTATCCTAAGACATTGCTGAAGTTGTTTATCAGCTTAAGAAGATGAGACTATGAGGTTTTCTAGATATAGAATCATGTTATCTGCAAAAATGGATAGTTTGACTTCCTCTCTTCCTATTTGAATACACTTATTTCTTTCTCTTGCCTGACTGTCCTTGCCAGGACTTCCAATACTGTGTTGAATAAGAGTGATGAGAGAGGGCATCCTTGTTTGAGCTGCTCTTCAAAAGGAATGCTTCCAGCTTTTGCCCATTCAGGATGATGTTGGCTATGGGTTTGTCATAGATGGCTCCTATTGTTATATTTTGAGGTATGTTCCTTCAATACCTAGCTAATTGAGAGTTTTTAACATAAAGAGGTGTTGAATTTTATTAAAAGCCTTTTTTGTATCTATCGAGATAGTCATGTGATTTTTGTCTTTAGTTCTGTTTATGTGATGAATCACATTTGTTGATTTACATATGTTCAATCAACCTTGCATCCTAGGGATAAAGCCCACTTCATCATGGTGAATAAGCTTTTTGATGTGCTGCTAGATTCAGTCATCCAGTATTTTGTTGAGAATTTTTGCATTGATGCTCATCAAGGATATTGGCCTGAAGTTTTCTTTTATTGTGTCTCTGCCACAGTATCAGGATGATGCTGGCCTCATTCTTCATAGAACTAGAACTTTGTGTCAGGATGATGCTGGCCTCATTCTTCATAGAACTAGAAAAAAACTGTCTTAAATTTCATATGGAACCAAAAACAAGCCTGAATAGCCAAGGCAATCCTAAACTAACAGAACAAAGCTGGAGGTACCAGGCTACCCAACCTCAAACTATACTTCAGGGGTACAGTAACCAAAACATCATGGTACTAATATAAAAATAGACACATAAACCAACAGAACAGAATAAAGAACCCAGAAATAAGGCTGAACACCTAAAACTATCTAATTTTTGAAAACCAGACAAAATTAAGCAATGGGAAAAAGATTTCCTATTCAATAAATAGTGCTGAGATAACTGGCTAGCCATATGCAGAAGACTGAAACTGGACTCCTTTCTTACACTGTATATAAAAATTAACTCGAGAATGATTTAAGAGAAATATAAAATCTAAAACTTTTTTTTAACTTTTAAGTTCAGGGGTAAAACTGTAGGTCTGTTACTTAGGTAAACTTGTGTCACAGGGGTTTGTTTTACAGATTATTTACTATAAAAACTCCGGCAGACAACCAAAACAATATCATTCTGGACATAGGAATGAGCAAAGATTTCATAAGGAAGGTGACAAGAAACAATGGCAACAAAAGCAAAAATTGACAAATGGGATCTAATTAAAGAGCTTCTTCACAGCAAAGGAAACTATCAACAGAGTAAACAGACAACCTACAGAATGGGAGAAAGTTTTTGCAAACTATGCATCTGACAAATATCTAATGTCTAGAATCTATAAGGATACTTAAATTTACAAGAAAAAGCAAACAACTCCATTAAAAAGTAGGCATAGGACACAGGCAGCTTTCAAAAGAAGACATACATGCAGCCAACAATCATATCAAAAACAGCTCAACATCCCTGATCATTAGAGAAATGCAAATCAAAACCAAACTGAGATGCTATCTCACACAAGTAAGAATGGCTATTTATTAAAAAGTCAAGGATGGCTATTTATTAAAAGTCAAAAATTACCAGATGCTGGCAAGGTTGCAGAGAAAAAGGAACTCTTATACACTCTTGGTTGGAGTGTAAATTAATTCAACCATTGTGGACGACAATGTGGCAATTTCTTAAATACCTAAAAAGATAAATACCATTTGACCCAGCAAACCCACCACTAGGTATATACCCAAAGAAATATAAATCATTCTATTATAAAGACACATGTACACATATGTTCATTACAGCTCTATTCACAATAGCAAAGACATGAAATCACCCTAAATGCCCATAAATTATAGATTGCATAATGAAAATATGGTACATATACACCATTAAATACTATGCAGCCATAAAAAAGAAGGAGATCATGTCCTTTGCAGGAACATGGATGGAGCTGGAGGCCGTTTTCCTTAGCAAAGTAACACAATAACAGAAAACCAAATACTGCATGTTCTCAGTTATAAATGGGAAGTAAATGATGAGAACACATGGACATATAGAGGGGAACAACACACACTGGGGCCTGTCAGAGGGTGGAAGGTAGGAGGATGGAGAGGGTTAAAAAAAAAAAAACTAATAGGTACTAGACTTAATACCTGGGTGAAGAAATAATCTGTACAACAAACCCCCCATGACACAAGTTTGCCTATATAACAAATTCGCACGTTCCCCTGGGCTTAAAATAAAATTTAAAAAAAACAACTAGATATCCACATGCAGAAAAATGAAATTGGATCTCATCTCATACCACATACAAAAATCAACTTAAGATGGATAAAAGACTTATTAACATAAGACCAAAAACTGTAAGTTACTAGAAAGAAAGAAAGAAAAAATACAGAAGAGCTCCATTATATTGTTCTGGGCAATAATTTTTTGGATAAGATTCCAAAAGCCCAGGCAATAAATCAAAAATAAACAAATATGATTACATTCTATAAATTTGTATTAATGTTAATTTAATACATGACATCTTTGTAAATCATTCTTTTAGATGATATCTCTTGATGTGTTCCATAGGATAGAAGTCATAAATTTAAAGGTGGTGTTCAATCTATAAACCATAGCATTCTTATATTTTTAGTAAAGCATGAGAAAAGTTGAAGAGATTTCTTACAAGTGTATTTGTGTTTTATTACATGATAAAATTTCACCTTGCCAAAAGTGTTACTAGAACGAATTTTGTGATATTCTAGTTGCAAATTGTGATCATTTTCTTCCAGTTCTCTTGGCTCGCTAGGTATGCCTAAACATGCAAAATAGATTAGAGAATTGAGGTCATTATGCTAAGAAAATACTATATCTTTTTCAATTGAATTCTCCAAGTAACTGAGGCCGGATGTTTCAGTCATCTTAATAATTTAAAGAATTTCTTGACTTTCTAAACTTTCTTTGCACAGAGACTATCTAAAGAAAGCAGATGGCTTAGTCAAGTTTTTAACATCAGTTACTCTTGAATATTGAGATAATTTATTATGTTGGAGACTATCATGTATAGGAGTATAACGGAAGATGGGGATTTACCTTTGTAGGGGGTGTGTCATGTACCAGGCACATGCTTTGTGCTTTTTATACATTTAAACATTATACCAATCTTGCACAGGATTTCTATTTTTATTTTTTCAGAAGCAAAAATTCAAGCATAAGGAATTTAAGGAACTTGCTCAAGATAACATAGGTAGTAAGTAGCAAAACTGAAACTGAAATTTCCATTTGAATAATGAAGACAACATATTATTTTTAATTAAGTATGCTACTTCCAAAACTACATCAGTTGGAAAGATACTACAGAATCAGAAATAAAAGAAGACAAATTCCTAGGATCATTTCCCCCTACAATGTCACTAAAACCATAACCACTTCCAAATACAGTCATATCCCACATAAGGGTATTTCTGTTAAGGAGAGACTATATATACAATGGTTATCCAATAAGATTAAAATACCACATTTTTACTGTACCTTTTCTAATATATTTTCATTTTTTTAAAATTTAGTGGGTACATAATGGGTGTGTATATTTATGGGATACATGAGGTGTTTTGACACAGACATGCAATGTGAAATAAGCACATAATGGAGGATAGGGTATTCATTTCCTCAAGCTTTTATCCCTTGAGTTACAAACAATCTAATTACATTCCAAGTTACTTTAAAACCAAGGTGGGTGGATCACCTGAGGTCAGGAGTTCGAGACCAGCCTGGCCAACATGATGAAATCCCATCTCTATTAAAAATATAAAAATTAGCCAGGCATGGTGGCGGGCAACCATAATCCCAGCTACTCAGGAGGCTGAGGCGGGAGAATCACTTGAACCCCAGAGGCAGAGGCCGTGATGAGCCGAGATCACACCATTGCACTCCAGCCTGGGTGACAAGAATGAAACTTGGCTCAAAAAAAGAGTACAATTAAGTTATTATTGACTGTAGTCACCCTGTTGTGCTATCAAATAGTGGGTCTTATTCATTTTCTCTATTTTCTTTGTACCCATTAACCATCCCCACCTCCCCGCCAACCCCCTAACCATGCTTCCCAGCCTATGGTTACCATCCTTCTACCTTCTTTATGTTTAGATATACAGATATTTACCATTGTGTTCTGTTAGAGGAAAAACTTCAGCCGAATTAAATTTAAGGAAGTTTAATTGAGCAATGAACAATTCGCTAACCAGGCATCCCCCAGAAACACAGCAGATTCAGAGAGACTTCCATGCAGCCACATTGAGGAAAAAGATTTATAGACAAAAAAAAAAGGGAAGTGACATATAGAAATTGGAAGTGTGGTACAGAAACAACTGGATTGATTACATCTTGGTGTTTGCCTTCTTTGAACACGGTTTGAACAGTTGGCTACATTTGATTGCCCAAAACTCAGTGATTGGCACAGGTGTGGGCTATGGTTGGTTTACCCCTCCACTTGTTATATAGTTCATGATGTACACGAAAAACTTTAGGCCAAACTTAACTATGTAAGGAGGCAGTTTAAGGCTAAACTTGATGTAACAGTTCAATTGCCTATAGTATTCAGTACAGTGACATGCTGTACAGGTTTGTAGCCTAGGAACAGTAGGCTACACCATACCTAAGTGATAGTAGGCTATATAATCTAGGTTTATGTAAGTATACCCTATGATGTTTGCACAACGATGAAATTGTCTAATGACACATAGCTCAGAACATGTGACTGTTGTTAGGCAATGCACGACTCTATTTCCCTTTCACTCCAGAGTGGTTCATGGGGTGCTCACATTTACCTATGAGTAGTTGCCACCTTCCATTACACCCACTGACTTTTCTGCGCTTGGCACCACAGCTGCCACACTAGCCAAATGGAGAATTAAACTTCCCATCTACTTCCCAGAAAGGTGCTATTACAGGAATGCTTTTTGTTGTCAGTTCTGCTATTACTGCCTATTGATCTTTCATTGACTTTGTTCTTCATTGGCTCTGGCAGAGACTTTGCTCCTATCTGCTTCAATGATCACTGTGCAGACTTGGTATGAAGAAATGCCCTTCTTCTCTCAGCACTGCCTTGGGTCTCTGCTTTCTTAAAGAAACTTTCATGGCACTACTTTTTGGGAGTCACTCTTTATTGAGGTCATCTCTCCTTGAGACATTAGCACTACTCCAATGATAAAAACAGTTCCCCTCAGCTTGACTAAGCTTTAGACATATTTCTACCAGACAATGAGCCTCTGACCTTCCTTTTTTTAGAGCATTTACTTTAGAAAATCTGCAATTGTAAATTCTTTCTCTTCCCTTTTGAAATGTATGTCAATCCCTTCCCAGCTATTTTCCAGTTTTACAGTCTAGGAAATGTCTTTTTTAAGAACCTGGGAACCATCTCTTAAAATGTAAACATCAAAGGAGATGGCACCACTATATTTCAGTCTCTTTGAGAAGGTAGGAACCTAACTTTGATGGGTAACAATTAGCAAACACAGATGCCCTATTTGCAGAGAAAAACATTTGCAAACTCAGGAATAATTAAATGTGATCAAACTATCTCATTGATCAATCTATCCCCTAATGTCAACCAGTACTTTTCCACCAGCTCATCCAAGTGCTTAAAAACCCTTCTAACTTTTGTTTCAGTGAAGAAGAGTTCAGTCCCTTTCTTCTATTTCAATAGTCTTGAATACAGTCTTCTTTGGCTGGGCACAGTGGCCCATGACTGTAATCCCGGCACTTCGGGAGGCTGAGGTGGGCAGATCACCTGATGTCAGGAAACCAAGACCAGCCTGGTCAACATGGTGAACCTCCATCTCTACTAAAAATACAAAAATTAGCTGGGCGCATTGATGCATCCCTGTAGTCCCAGCTACTCAAGATGCTGAGGCAAGACAATTGATTGAACCTGGGAAGAGGAGGCTGCAGTGACCTGAGATCGCACCACTGCACTCCAGCCTAGGTGACAGAGTGAGGCTCTGTCTCAAAAACATGTAAATAAATAAATAAAGTTTTCCTTGCCTTTAAATTTGTTGGTGCCGTTTTGGCTTCAACACCAGTGTGGAGGCTGGACGACACTCCCATTGTCTCAGCAACGGGATGTCTCTATCTACAACGGTCCACCTCAGCTCTCCCTTTCCTCAGGATAAGTCCCTTCTCCTTTGAGGGCATAGCAGTGAAGAAAAGACCACTCTTTCACTGTAGCTTTGATGTTTTAGCTCTGGAGGTCCACAGGCATTATGGACTCCAGTCAGATGTATTTCCTGTGAAAGAACAAGCGTACCTTGGAAATATTGTGAGTTCAGTTTGAGGCCACCACAATGAAGTGAACATTACAATAAAGAAGGTCACAGAAATTTTTCGGTTTCCCATTGCATATAAAAGTTACATTTAACTATACTCTAGTCTGTCTACTAAGTGTGCAATAACATTATATCTATCTTAACGAGAAATGCATATACCTTAATTTAAAAATACTTTCTTACAAAAATGCTAATTACCATCTGAGCTTCAACAAGTCATCATCTTTTTGTTGGTGGAGGATTTATGTGATGGCTGCTGACTGATCAGGCTGGTGGTTGTTGAAGGTTGGGGTAATTGTGGCAATTTTTAAAAATAAGACAATGGAGTTTGCCACACTGATTAACTCTTCCTTTTATGAAAGATTTCTCTGGAGCATGGGATGCTGTTAAAAGCATTTTACTGCAGTAGAACTTCTTTCAAAATTGAAGTCATTTCTCTCAAACTCCATTGCTGCTTTATCAACTAAATTTATACATTATCCTAAGTCCTTCATTGTCACTTCATCAATGTGTATGGCATCTTCACTTGGGGGTAGGCTCCATCTGAAGAAACTACTTTCTTTGCTAATTCATAAGAAGCAATTTATCCATTTAAGTTTTATCATGAGATTTCAGCAATTCAGTCACATCTTTGGGCTCCACTTCTAAATCTAGTTATCTTGCTAGTCCTAGGTGGCACCTTCTTTCATTATAAAGCTGTTTTGTCTACATGAAAAATCTGTTGTTTAGTGTAGCTACCTTCATCAATTATCTTAGCTAGATCTTTTGAATAACTTACTGAAGCTTCTACTTCACACTTGCTCCATCATCTTGTACTTTTATGTTATGAAGACGGGTTATTTTCTTAAACCTCATGAACTAACATTTGCTACCTTCAAAGTTTTCTTCTGCAGCTTCCTCACCTCTTGCAGCCTCGATAGAATTGAAGAGTTGGTGCCTTGCTCCACATTAGGCTTTGGCTTAAGGGAGTGTAGTGGCTGGTTTGATCTTCTATCCAGACCACTAAAATATTCTATCAGCAATTTCACTGAAACAGCAAAAGTTGTTTCACTTTCTTATCATTTGTGTGTTCACTGGTGTAGCACTTTTAATTTTCTTCAAGAAGATTTCCTTTGCCACCACAATTTTGCTAACAGCATGGCACAAGAGGCCCAGCTTTTGGCCTATCTCAACTTTTGACATGCTTTTTTCACTAAGCTTAATCATGTCTAGCTTCTGATTGTATGTGAGAGATGTATGACAATTCCTTTCCTGTGAACAATTAAAGGCCATTGTAGGGCCTCTAATTATTCATTGACCCAATTTCATCATTGTTGTGCCTCAGGACATAGAGAGGACTGAGGAGAGAGAGAGACAGGGGGGAACAGCTGGCCAGTGGAGCAGTCAGAACATACATAACATTTATTAAGTTCTCTGTCTTATATGGGCACAGTTCATGGAGCCCCAAAACAATTACAACAGTAACACTGAAGATCACTGACCACAGATCACCATGAGATAGAATAATTTTTTAAAAAGTTTGAAATATTGCATGAATTATGAAAATGTGACACAGAGATACAAAGTGGGTACATGCTATTGGAAAAATAGTCCTGATAGACTGGCTGGATGCCCTGCCAGGGTTGCCATGGCCTTTAATTAGTTTTAAAAATGCAATAACTGTGAGGCACAATTAAGTGAAGCAAAATAAAATGAAGTATGCCTGTAAGTAGTTCAATATTCAAATCAATTTCTAGTTAGCACACAGTGTGAACATTCAAGGCAAGCCTAGACATTGACAAATGTATCATGTGAATGCGGCTTAGGCTGTCACTCTGGGAACATTGCTATAAAAATAGAAAGGAGCTCTGAATTAGCAAGAAATTCAGTAAGCCTCAACAGAGGAAGCCTTGCAAATAACATTTAATTTTATAAAATAATATAGTCTAAATTTTCTTTAATATTGACCAAATCCATTATTATACAAGAAGGGGACAGACAAAAGTCTACTAGCATGAAAAGACATTAATAGTTGGCTGCAGACATGTGAGATAAATAAACGTCTTTCTCCTCCAATCTGTAAGATGATGTTATACTCATTCAGAATTGTCTATAAAAATATTATATCACTTCTGTACTGTATCTACCAAATATTTGTGGAGCATAAAGCTCTGCAAATAAAATGGCATTCAGAGATGCCATGACACAAGAGGCACGTAATTCTTGTGACACCTCATGGTGCCTTTAACATTATTCATGTCCAAACATTGTTCCTAATAGTAATCAGTTATGAAGTCAGTTCTAAGTAGTTTAAGTCTGGCTGGCGATAAAGAGATAAATGCAAATGATTTGCATTCCACTATACTTTGGACTTGAAATGGCAGATTTGCCAGTGGTTTATGGTAATCATAACTCAGCATCTCTTTGTTAAAACATTATCATCAATAAATATGAAACACTTGAGTAACTTAAAACCACTTTGAGCCTGCAGAGAAAACTCTATTGCTATCTGTTTGAATATGTTTGTACCTTAATTTATCTGTTGATTCAGAGAAACAGGTAAGGCAGTGGCTGTCAGGAACAAGCCAATTTGCTTTTCCACAGGAAATATAGCCTGGCAGCTTCAATAAAAACAGAGGCTTCCAATTAACTCTGTCTATTACTGAGAAAGGTAATCTTTCAGCCAAGTCTGGACTAAGAAGAGAAAAAGGCAGACAAGAAAAGAATGAAAAATAGAGGGGAGAAAACTACACAGTCCTTCACTGTGGCTGCACATCCAAAACACCCAGGGAGCTTTCATGTAATACCAATGTTCAGGCCTTATTCTCAGGGATTTGAAATTAATTGGTTTAGGGTGGACTTTGCATGTCATATTTCTTAAAACTCACCAGATAATTTTTAATGTAGAAGTAGTTTTGAGAACTACTGAAATGGAAGATTTTCATGAGCGATGAGCTAACACTTGTTTGACTTTCTATTAATTTACAGGAATATTACTTGCTAACATTTATTAACTAGCCAAAGTTTATGAACATCACTGTAACCTGAAAGAATCTATAAGCAAAATCAGAATTGAGGCTTTAAGTGTCAACACCAAAAATGACAGTGCTTCTCTCATTT
The DNA here is from genome assembly GCF_000001405.40 of Homo sapiens. Lineage (NCBI taxonomy): Eukaryota > Metazoa > Chordata > Mammalia > Primates > Hominidae > Homo > Homo sapiens. The sequence goes on along the minus strand of NC_000009.12, from coordinate 101,980,064 downwards.
ACCTAATTTGAATACGGTGGCTGACACCTGTAATCCCAGCTCTTTGGGAGGCTGAAGTGGGTGGATCACCTAAGGTCAGGAGTTCAAGACCAGGCTGACCTATATGGTGAAAGCCCATCTCTACTAAAGTTACAAAAAAATTAGCCGGGCATGGTGGCATATGCCTGTAGTCCCAGCTACCCAGGAGGCTGAGGCAGGAGAATCGCTTGAACACAGGAGGCGGAGGTTGCAGTGAGTTGAGATTGCACCACTGCACTCCAGCCTGGGAAAGAGAGTGAGACTCCGTCTCAAAAAAAAAATTATATAAAATTAAGTATATATTATGACATTAATGAGCTAATTAAGTAAAATAAGTAAAGTAATAAGTAAATAACAGGTAAATTACAAGCAAGTCTGTGATTCTTAATCTGCTTTTTCCAAGGGAAACTATGACACAGAATAAAGAAACATAAGAGAAACAAATGAAATGTGAATCTCAATATAGAGATATTTCACCTCCCTGGTTACCTGTATTTCTAGGTATTTCATTCTTCTTGTGCCAATTGTGAATGTTATCGCATTCTTGATTTGACTCTCAGCTTGGATGTTATTGGTGTATAGAATGCTAGTGATTTTTGTACATTGATTTTTGTATCCTGAAACTTTGCTGAAGTTGTTTATAAGCCCTAGGAGCCTTTGGATAGAGACTTGGGGTTTTCTAGGTATAGAATGATAATTTCTGCAAGTAGAGATAGTGCGACTTCCACATTACCAGTTTGGATGTCCTTTATTTCTTTCCCCTGCCTGATTGCTCTTGCTAGGACTCCCAGTACTATGTTGAACAGGAGTAGTGAAAGTGGACATCCTTATTTTGTTCCAGTTCTTAAGATGAATGCTTCCGGCTTTTGCCTATTTAGTATGATGTTGGCTGTGGGTTTGTCATAGATGGCTCTCATTATTTCGAGGTATGTTCCTTCAATGCCCAGTTTGTTGAGGGTTTTTAACATGCAGGGATGTTGACTTTTATAGAAATGAAGCTTTGTCTTTGAAAGAAACTGAAAGAGAATTAGTGGCCCAAACCTGTTCTTCTTCACCTGTAGTTCTTATCACTGTGCAGAGAATGAACCTGCAGATTATATAAACAAGCTGTGGTTATAGAATTGTATGTTTATTTGGGCCAGCCTGATTTAGTCTTACTATTTGGAGAAAAACATTTATCCCCGCCAGCCGTTTAAGTGTGAAATATGCTCAGTGTCTATGGTGAGCAGAGGAGAAACCTCACAGATGGCCATGCCCTAGTCTCCAGAACCTGTGGTTATGTTTCATTACATAGCAAATGGAAACTAAAGTTGCAAATGTGTTAAGGTAATTAAGGTTACTAATCAGACGGCCTGAGACAGGGAGATTATATTGAGATATCCAGGTGGGTGCAAGGGCAACACAAGGGACCTTTTAAGTCGAAAAGGAAAGCAGGAGGCATGAGTCAAGAGTGGTGCAGTGTGAGAAAAAGTCAACAAACCACTGCTGGCTTTGAAGACAGAAGGGAGCTATAATCCCAGGCATGAGAAACTAGAAAAAGGCAAGGAAATGAATCCTCTCTTAGAGCCACCAGAAAGAAACACAGTACTGCTGACATTGATTTTATCCTAGTGAGACTCATTTTGAACTTCTAACCTCCAGAACTACAAGATAATACATTTGTGTTGTTTTAAGCCACAACAGTTTGGTGATTGGTTACAGCAGCAATAGAAAACTAATACAGTGTGCATACACTTGGGACCTAAACCATCTTGACCCCAGATGTGACCTCAGTTGGGCTTCAGTCCGTAATATCCTTACTTTCAACCATCTGGTTAACTGTTCACAACTTCATCACTCATTGGACACTTTGCCAAATTTTTCTCAGCCTTTGACTTTCACTGTTCTGTTGACTTCAATTTCACTCCTTTTCATGCATGGAAACTTATATAAATTACTACCTGATTTAAAAAGATTCCCTTTCAGCTTGACCTAGCCTCCAAGAACACCCTTACCTAAGATACCCCTACAGGTATCTTGTAAGCACATACCTGATCTGTTTCAACTTTCCAAGCAAAACGTAACCACCATATCTCAAGTATCTGTTTATGATCACTACTGTGAGTAAATTTTATATACTAAATAAAGCTATAATTTGTCAACAAAACATTCAATAGATGATAAATCTAAGATTTTTTCATTCCCTGTTCACTGTAACAGAACAAGAATGTAGCTGTCCTATAAAGGAAATAAATACGCCATCTACTGGATTCAAATGAAAACTACAAGCAGAAGGCCTTAAATTTATAGTTGACACTATGCTGCTATAACATTTAACTATAAAAGCAAAATTTTATGTTTTTATCATTTTATGAAAAATAACAAAAAATATTTTGTTTTTGTGCCAGTTGTTCAGACTCTAGAAATCATTTCCCTTATCTCATAATTGCTAAATATTAATTATAATAGAAACTGAGTATGTTCTGAGATACATAAATAAATTATGTTCATAGTCCCATTGTATAAGAAACATTTTTCAAGGTTATTTTGGTTATTATTGCTCAATCAACATCTAAAAGAATTTTTAAATGATATCTCACTGTGTATAACCACTCATATGTAGGCTGTGCCCAAGCACTTAAATACACACACACACACACACACACACACACACACAAACGAGAGAGAGAGAGAGAGAGAGAGAAGCATTTTGCTTCCACGTATCCTAAGCATCCTAAATCAAAACTACAAATCTGCTGACTTAAGGAGGAAAGAATAATTTGAACATTATTGAGTAATAAAGATCACCCTCTAATAAATAAATTATATCATAATGGCAAAATCAATCTTTTTTGACATTTATTTATGTGTATTTAGTTTTCACCGTCACTTTAGGAATACAATGACACTATGGTTACATTCATAATAATTAATTATTTAATTCTATTTTAGTAACCTTTTATTGCCTTTTTTTTGTATACTTTCTTCTTCTGAAAACACACATACACACACACACACACACACACACACACACACACACACTCTATTTCTGTAGTTTGGGGTGGGAGCTTCCAGCCAATACAGGATGTTGACTCTAATTATAATTTGCCCTGTGTACACCAAGTGACTGGGACCTTATGATACACAAATCTCAAGGAGCTACACAATCATATTTTGATTAGTGCAGGAGTAAGTTGCTCAGCATACAAAGAGCACATGACAGTGAATAAAATCAACAGCCCCTGTAGTCTAGAAGCCTAGATCTCAAACTGTGAAAATTTCCTAAAATTTCCAAAAGCGGGCATAAGTAAAGAGAGAGCTCAAAATACTGAATAAAGGTGTGAGAAATTAAAATTGGAAACCTTCCTCAAGTGAGGTAAAAACCTAGTGACACAAGTGTCACCCAGTTGCAGATGTTCAGAAATGCAAGCCACCTAATTGAGATGACTAAAATGTGCAGGCTGATTTGTTACAGCAGTTAGCATTACTCTCAGGACTAAACAGGGAGATTAAAAGTCCAAAGGGACTCCATGTTAATACCTCAGTGGAAAGGGTAAGACCCTATAGTCTGGCTATGATGACTCTCAAAACTTTGGACACTTTGCAAACACTTTTATTACCTAGTTTTGATTAGCAGAAAAACTTTAAAACTGAAAAGAATCATCTCCTTGTGTCTCTTCCTTCCCTTCTCCTCCCTCTTTAACATCCCTTCATCTTCCCTTCTCTGTACTTTATTCAAAGAATTAAAGTGGGTGAACAAGTAGCCCAACAGAGAGCTAAGGCACTGAGTAAATGGCTTCCTATGTCACAGCCAATCTAGCAAAGAAAGAAGCCTCAGGAAATACAAAGGGTACTGACATGTTTATGTCAAAGTTAAATCTGGACAAAAGCACATTGTATCTCTGGGTCACATTATTAAAAAAAAAAAGAAGAAGAAGAAAATGGAAGCAAGTATAAACATAAGCCATAAAAAGCACCACTTAATTCCCGGAGTGATTTATTTGGTGGACTTCTTCTCCGATTCTTTATTTTCTTAAATAAAACATGATAAACCACTAATGTGAGTATATATTGCGACAACTACTTCAAAAATGTATTTGCCATTATCTACTAAGTATGAAGATATGTCTGTCATATGACCCCAACAATTCAACTTCTGGGTATACCCAAAGGAAGTAAGCATAATTATGCCCAAGAGATATGTACTTGAAAGTTCGGAGCAGCATAGTTTATAGTAGCTGTGATGGTTAATATTAAGTATCAACTTGATTGAATTAAAGGATGCAAAGTGCTGTTTCTGGATGTTTCTGTGAGGGTGTTGCCACAGATGTGTGCTTCATATACACATCTATCCTATTACTTCTGTCCTGCTAGAGAACTCTGACTAACACAGTAGCCAACAATGAGAAACATACCAAATGTCCATCAACTAGAGCAATCAAAACAAGAAGTAACAATATAGATGACCTTAACAGACAAAATGTTTGCGGGGGGGAGAAACGATTATAGATGAATACACATAAAGCAAGGCAGAGAAAAGTTCATATAGTATGCTTACATTTAGGTAAAATTCAAAAGCAAGCAAACTAACATTATCATTTAAGAGGGCATATATAAGTCATAATACAAACCAAACAGCCAATACATTTCTTCTTATAAAATTCAGGATAGTGGTTATAGGGAGGAAAGAAATAAGATAGATAAGGGGCTCCAGGGCTTCTGGGTTCTAATGCTGTGCTTGCTATTTCTTGACATAGAAGGTGTTTACATGAGGATTGTTACAATAATTATAGTATGTTCATATTTTGTGCATTTTTATAGATGTTTTAATTTACTTTTTAAAAACTTAAGAAGGATTCAATTATTTTTCCTCAATACTTCGCTGTGAACTCTGTGAAAATGGGAGTCATGTCTGTTTTGTTCATTGATGTTCTCTCTAGGACTGAGCACACAGGCTGGAACAAAGGAGCTCAACAGAAATTTGATGACTAAATGAATGAAAGAAAGCAAAGCTAAGTAAAGAACCAATTACTTTAATTTTTTAATTTATTAACAATAATAAAAGTGATTATAAGAGTTAGTATTTATGGAACACTCACCATGTACTAGACATTGGTTTAAGCACTTTATTTACATCTTATTATTTAACCATCACAACAGACCTATGAGTTTGATAACATACTATGGTAATTACACGAATGAGAATGCTGAAGTTTAGAGATTTTAAATAAAATCTGCAGGGTTATCAGCTAGTAAGTGGTGGAGCTGGGACTCAAATTCAGATCCATTTTATTTGAACATCTATATACTTTTTTACTACTTTACATACATAATCCTCTGAATCAATTCAATTGATTCAATTACCTACTGAATCAATTAATGATTATTTTGCTTTTTTAGAAACTTTTTGTGCCTTCAGTTTTCATTTTAAAATATCGATGAAAGTTTCCTTCACTGAATTGTCTCCTATACTCACTAGAACCATTTTTCATAATGTCACAAGACATTAACATTTCCTAAGATTCCGCTACCCTGACTAGTGCTTGCCTTTTGAATATTACTGTAAAAACCAAAGGAGCCACAATGTTAAGAAGTATGGCTATTGGCAACAATAAAAAAAAAAACTCTATTTACCAAAAGTATATAGATGTTATAAAATTAAAAGAGAAATTACATCCACACAAAGAGACATTTTCATGAGCCTTTACATACCAAAAAAATAGTTTCACATCTTGATAACTGACAAGATATAAGGAGGTACTCGTGGAATGATGAAGAGATATCAAAAACATACAAGAGCCCCCTGTATTTCCCAGAGGCTTTCACTGGCCAAATACAGGGTAGCAAAACAAAGAATCATAACAATAGATTATAATCTATTGAATAAAATAATAACCCATGAACCTACAGAAATATTAATTAATGAAGGAAGAAAAAGTTTTTTCTTATAGTAGAATGCCAGGTAATAAATATAAAAGAAATAATGGAGGGAGGAAATTATCAATGTTGAGAAAAAAGTGACAGAAGTTTGATGAGAAGCATGATAGTCTCAAAGAATCTCTTCACAAATTGTTAATTAACTTCAAACATAAATACAGCAAAGTTACAATGGGAACATTCTGGCAATTACCGTCAGAACTAGTTTTCAAAGTTATAAAATAAAATGTCCTGTACTAGAAAAGAGGCATAACTATAATGGGAATGTTCGTATTTGATAGATTAAATAGAGAAGTATAATTAGTTAGGTTTACATAAATAAAGGAAAATATTAAATATGCAAATGCAGAAGGAGAATATATGTTTATTTTTTCAATTACATATTGGACATTTATAAAAATTACAATATGTTAAGCCACAAAGAAAACCTCAGTGAATTCCAAATGAACAAAAACAAAGACTATATCTTCTATTAAAATGGAAAAGTGTTATAACTCAAAATCTTTTGATATACACACTCAGAGAAGAAGCCTGCCTTAAACGTATTACTTGCTAGCCAGGGATGAATATGAGTTAGTTACTAAGTTAAAAGTTACAACCGGAACAAAAGAAAACTTTGAAAATGGAAGTAAGGAATTATAAACTATAAACTTAGAGAATGGCAAAAAACAGTAACAGAAAATAACTTAGAATTACAAGAGAATATTTGTACATATAAATCTATATTAATCTATTTGAAAGCCTTCAACATGAAAGCATTAAGCTACCTTTGAGATTGGAAAACCCCCGGTAAAAAAAATTGTGGTATTATCCCTAAACATTTTAAAAACTAGTAAGAATATGAAATACTGAGGTTAAATAATAGTATCAACTACCGATAAACTCTGGAAAACATAAAGTGAGACAGACTAGTCCTAGGTTATGTCCCTTATTGAGCATGTTAGACTTGTCAGATCATTTAATCTAGAAATTTGCATCCTGTAACAAGAAATAGTGAAGCACGCCATATTCATCTGTACTCTCTCTCTACCCCATCGCTGTAATGGGGTATTTATATGCAATAACTGATCATTTCAAGGGCAGAAACTAGGAGAGATAATGTGATCAATCCCAGTGTCTCTAATTAGTGTTCATATGGGCTTAGCTATGTCAAGAAAGCCCAGGAGAGGGCACAGCTGGTAGTACTAATTACAGCTAAGGATCAAGCAATTAAAATAAAATGATCAGTCTCATAGAGGCCAAAGTGTAAGGATAACACTGGCAAAGTATCTTTAATATAACATTCGGGAGGTCTTTTCTGGGAAGAGCAGGAATAGGATCTAGGCTTCTGTTGAGGGCTTACAGAAGTGCTGAAAGAATACTGTTTATTTGATTTCTGAATTTTTTTAGGGGTGTAAAATTTGGGAATTGATCTTGGACAAAGGAACATATGGATCTTTTTAGGAAATAAGTCATATAATATATGTCTGAATAATTATTCTTGATACCTTATTTTCTTTCCCTTTTTACATTTGGCCTGATGCTAGTTTGGGCAAAGGACTCTGCACTGAAATTTGATTGAAAATTTCTACTAAGTTTCAGAATTGAGAACTGAAGTCTTAGATTTATAATTTGAAGTTCAAGTGATAATTTTTCCCTCCTAAAATCCCACCCATAAAGATAGGATTAAAGTCACAAGAAAGCTTACAAAAACTCTAGCATACTCCTTTTTCTGATTTCTAGATTCAGGTAAATGCATAAGTCCTATAGTAGAATAAGTCAATATTAATTTATCTTCATTAACTGAGAGCAAGTACACTTTTGGTGATGCAGACCAGTGAGAATAAGTCATATAATATAGAAATGTATCCCTGAAACACAGTTTGAACCTTACTCTACATATTTCCTCTCTGGGAGTCCTGGGATGGCACTGATATTCCCTGGAGGTCTCTTATAGCCTGGTCCCTATATATTGATTATAACATTCTAAACAAATATAGTACATTAATTTACCATCTTCTTGAGGACTTGACAATGTGTCAAATACTATTATAGATGATTTTTATACCTTATCAGTAATCCTGATGACAATCCTGCAAGTTAAGATTTATGTTAATATTTCTTGTGTTAAGTGGGAACAGGTTTCCAGGTTAAGTGGGAAACAGGTTAAGTGGCCTGACTTCATAAATAGTAGATCTGAGAGTTGGTCTCATATTGACTAGACTCCAGCTATCATACCATGACGGTTTTCTATTGCTGGCCTTATTGGAACTCCATGGAAGTGGGGAAAAAAAAAGAATATATTGTGAATTGTGTCCAAGACAGGGAAAGTAATTTCAGAAACGAGATGGTCAGTGAAGATTTTCACTAGGGTGTGGTCAGGAGAAGAATTTTGGAAAAGAAAATTACCCAAGTGTCACTTCCCAGTGAATGAGTCTTCATTTCAGACTCCTGAGAACCACCCTAGTTTCTTAACATAAAAAAAGGAAATTGTGTTTGGGTAACTTATCAATAACCCTAAGATGGCCTTTCTTGTTCACTTTTAAAAAATATTTTTCTGTGGGTACATAGTAGGTATATATATTTATGGGATACGTGAGATGATTTGAAACAGGCATGCAATGTAAAATAAGCACAACATGGAGAATAGGGATATGCATCTCCTCAAGCATTTATCCTTTGAGTTACAAGTAATCCAATTACATTCTTTAAGTTTTTGGGGGTTGCAGGAGAGCTGGGGATGGTTAATGGGTAAAAAAATAGAATCAATAATACCTATATGTAATGGTGCAATAGGATGACTATAATCAATAAGAACTTAATTGGATATTTCAAAATAGTTTTCTCATTCACTTTTTTGTGCTCCTTTGGATTCAGTTTCCTGGATCAGAAAGAACTTGAAGGAAGCCAAAAGCCTCAAGCTGCCAGCAGTGACCACCTACAGGGGCTTCAGTTTAGAGGCAAAAACACTGACTCTAGGCCAGAGTATAAGCTCTCCAGCAGGTCAAACAGAAGGCTAGAGCTGCTGACCAGGATCAAGTTGGGGAGCAGCGGGGAAGGAGTGGCAGGGTGAAGGAGACTTTAATAGAGATGAAATCAAAAATAGCCAAAGCTAGTGTGAAATTAGGGAAGGGGAATCTAGACTTTTGAATGGATCTCTCCACACAAATACTGCTACTCCTAGAGCACAGAAGACAAGGATCTGCCTATCTTAAATAAACTGAGAAGAGAGGAAAGGCCCTTTTCCTCCTGGACACACACACATCACCTAAACACAAGGCAAAAAGACATATGGCTGCCAGGAATTCTCTGCTTTAAAAATCCCAAGGGATAACAACTTCTCTTTCAAAGCTCAGTTTGTGTAAAGCATCTGCTGCTTGCTGTGCTAATCAATCCTCCAAGTTAGTGTCCATATATCATTATAATAGAGCTATTCTAAACTGAATTCAATATAGTGACATGTTTATGATTATTTTATTTAGTGTAAGGAATGTTATGGAAGGTGTGCTTATTTTGTACTGCTATTAACAAACTGTATGGCCACAAATCTTAAGATAATTCTTTCTAAACAAGACAGGGGACTCAAAAGCTATAAAGGGAGAAAATGAACAAATTTGACTATAGTAACATTTTTTATATTCTTTATGTCAAAATATGCTTCATAAAACAAATGAAAGTTTTCATAAGTAGGAAGACAATACTTGTAAAACACACAGTGCACAAAGAATTAATGTCCCCAACAGGCAAGAATTGCTGACAAATTACTTTTTAAACAATTCCCAATCAAAATTGGACAAATTATTCAAACAGCTAAATCTCTGAAGAAGCAAAGCAATCAGTAAATAAGTATATTAAAAGAAACTCAACCATAATAATAATAGTCAAGGACATACAAATTTAAATAATGGAAAAATGTTTTACCCATTACATAATTTTGACAGATAGAGTATAGCAGAAGTAACACCAAGCTAATTTCTGGCCTAGTCTTTAAGAGAATGGGCTGGTTATACATTACTCTCTCTGAACACTCAGCCATCCCTCTGCTGAAAAGATCACATGGAGAGGGCCTGAAGGAGAATGGCTCAGCTGAGCCAGCCTTTCGTCTTTCTCACCAGGGTGTCAGATATTTGAGTGAAAAATCCGTGGATCCTCCAGACCCAACCAGACACCAGCTGAATACCAGCAGGTGATCCCAGTAAAAAAATTGCCCAGCCAAGCACTGCCTGAATTTTTGGCCCAGCAAACAGTGATTCTCTCTATATATGTAAGTATCTGTTCAGTTTCTGAAGTAGTTTGTTAAACAATTATAAATAACCAGCATACATGCCAACCACTAAACAGCAGGTAAATTATGAGAATCCTTCTAAGATATCTGGGATGAAACACAGAAGAGTGCCAGGAGGAAAATCCAGAATAAATGGTATCAATTTCAAAAAAGGAGAGCATATAATGAAGGAGCAAGGGGTCAATAATATCAATAATATGAGATATAAAACGAAGTTTATTACATGTAGTAATTAGAAACTCACTAGCAACTTTAGAGAATGGTTTCAGTAGAGGAATAGCAGTAAGCTGAAGAGTGAATAAAAACACAGCAACACAGCAATTCCATTTCTAAGTATGTACCACAGACAAAATTTCTACCTATAAGAATGTATGTAGTAGTGGTGTTAATCATAGAGAAAAACACACAAACAACTCAAATGCTCAAATGTTCACTGACAGGAGAACAGATACATAACTTGTTATATTCAGCAGTAAAATCAAGTAACTATAGCCACCTGCAACATCATGGGTGAATCTCAGGTACATAAGCAAGTCTCAGAAGGTGATACATGATATAATCTTTGTGTAAAGCTAAGGATTAAACAAAATAAAATACATCACATGTATATGTGTGTATACATAATATATGTATGAATGTAGGCATGTATATTTATAACAAAAAAGCCATAAAATGGCAAACAGAATTCAGGATCATGGTCACCTTCCAGGGAAAAATAAAGGCGGGTCAGAGGGGAGAGACACTTCAAAATGCAATCATATTGGTAATGTTCTACTTCTTGCATAGATGATGGATTTATAATTTGCATCTATGTCTCATATATTCTTGTATATACATCAAATATAACATCAAAATATTTCTAGGAAAACTTGTTTAATGAAACAACTGGGATAAAATGAAGACAATGCATTAGAGCCCACCCTTTAGGGAAGTTTTCCTATGACATGAAGAAGTAAGATAGACTAATATTACAGAGAAATGGGCCAAGCACAGTGACTTATGCTTGTTAACTGAGCACTGTGGGGAGGCAGAAGGAGGAGGATCCCTTGAGGTCAGGAGTCAAGACCAGCCATAGTGAGACCTGTCTCTACAAAAAATAATTTTTTTAAAAAAAAGAAGAGAGAAATGAATTGTTAACATACATTTTAGGAGGGAAAAAATATGAGCATATTCCTAGACATATGGGGAAGTCATTACTGAAATATACATAAATATAAATGTGTGAAGAAAGAAACAAAAACTTCATGTCAACACTAAAAGCACTTGGAGATTCTGCTGACACATCACTTCCCACTGAAACTGGAGGTGCTAAATTGCAACTGGCTATTATTTGGATATTACTTGTAAATACATCCTTATTATCAATTTGTTATTTAATAAATCTGTAGATTCTTCAGTAAGAAAAGGCATTTTTCTCTTATGATTTACCTGACAGGAAAACGCTAAGCATTCACTACTTACAAATCTGTACTCAACTGTTGATGGACAGGCAGAAGTTTTCTGAACATAAGTTGTAAGTTGAAAAGAATATTGTTTTCCATAAAGGATTAAGTTGAAAAGAATAAATTGTTTTCCATAAAGGATTTAGTTCAAATATTTACTAAAGAAACTAACATTTGTCAATTATCAGCGATACTTTTCAGCTTCTAAGCAGGCCCCAAAGTTTCCCACCTTTAGGAACTGCAGGAAAGGCTCATTAGGCAGAAACTAAGTCTTTCTCCAAAAATCTGATGTAAAGACCTATTTGATATCTATCTTGAACTTCATGGCAGTACATGAACTGAAAATACATGGCTAGTCAGGACTGAGCCATCAACCCTGCCTGGGAAGCTATTAGTTAACTCACTATTTTATAATCTAAGGCAAAACTTAAGAAATATATGTGTGTATATATATATATATATATATATATATATATATATCTCATATATAAACATATATACACACACATATATATGCACTTGGTGCTAGTATTCATTTATATATATAAATATAACGAATATATGTACATATACACACACACATATATAAAAATATATATATACACACATAAATGAATACTAGCACCAAATGTATTTTTGAATTTGTTCAGTGACTGCTCTGTCCTTGGTGCTTTGCTTGAGGCAGAACAACATGTCCTTGAATAGTGGATTTCATATTCAAGGAGAGATGGCTCTAACAATGTAACCAGCTATTGAAGCAACAGTTGAAGAGGATGTCAAATCTCAGAAGCTTGAGGTTAGGAATTTTCTTTTATCTATACTTTTTATTATCTACCTATTTTTTTCTTTTGAAAAGGAGAGACTTTTATTTCCTGAGGTTTAAAATGATAGGCCAGGAGAGTTTATGCCTTGATAATGGGCCAGTGATAAAAATCCCATTTATTGCCACTTATTCTCCTGAGTCTAGCACCAAAATAGAGCTTCTGCTGATGTTTGGGTATATGCAGAATACTAGGTTATCTGCTGAGGTGCTTGAGGATGTGACTGGCCGGGAGAAATGCAGGCAATGACACTATGGCCATTATAATAAAGAAGAAAGAATATCAGTAGGTCAAAAGGCACAAGACCAGGGCTGAAAGAACATTTGAGTAACGGTTTATGAAGAGTGTCTCAGAAAACTACAGTTTAGCTTTATGAGAAAATGAAGATTTGCAAACCTGCACTCAAGAATGAAAATGCCAGCAGTAAGAGAGCTGGTGCAATCATGGAGTCCTGCACTCTTGGAGTCTCATAATGTTGGGAGGTAAACATAAATGAGACATAAAAAGCCTTCTATCCATGTTGACGTTTTCTTGAATTGGAAGGGTCAGAATCTGCCTGCTCCATAATTGGAAGGGTCAGAATCTGCCTGCTCCATGTCTCATGGTTGTTCCTAGATTAATTTTAGTTGCATGTACATTATATCATCAAGACTTAATCTAATTTGGGTTCTGGAGTTTGCAAGGGCAAAAGCCTACAGCTGTCTCCATCAGCTGCAATATTTTTGGCAGGATAAAATAACACCCTGCATCTCTTTGTTGAAACAGTATCTTAAGGACACAGAAATGTGAACCACAGCCTAAAAAGATGCCCTACTTTATTGGCAACATTATGTCATGGCTAACATTTGTAAATCATTCATAACAGATGCCAGCAAGAGGAACTCATTTTTCAAGATTTAAGATATGAGGCCCAAATGGGAATCAATTGCTCTCTAGCATGCTCTCAAACATCTCCTTACATTTATAACAAAATTGTTCCAGTCAATGCAGCCTTCTGGGAGCTAATCTCTGTGTGGAGCAGCTCATGATCCACCCATAGTGTTCCCCCCAGCTTCCATTCCTGCCACTAAATGGAGTAAAGGATCCTAAAAATAGCAAAGCCTTTGTTCAGACTTCAAGTCTGATTGTAAGCTAGTTCTTTCTATGGATGGCTTCATAAGCCTTGAACTGCCACCTTTCTCAGAAATGTTTTAAAGTCTCCTTTTCATACCCCAAAAGATACATCGAATCTAAACAAGCATATTTCTTAACAATTTTAAAGTACCATTTTTACTTTCACATTTTAAAATAGGATATGACCTGAAGATTAAAATGCAGTCCTATATTTATGATATGGAGGTGGAGAGAAGTACAAAATTCACCCAGGGAGAAAACAGTCCTACCCCTTTTAAAATCTAATCAGGATCATGCCCTTTGAGCAACTTGGAATTTTAATGTGAGGAGAACCATTTTTTCTCCCAGAGTAAGAAATTTTTGGTGTTTTTTTGTTTTTGTTTTGTTTTGTTTTTTTTACCATGATTAAGGAAGTTTTCTGGAGAAGAGAAAAAAAAGACATCTTTTAAAAAATCGTGGCTTCAAGAACATCCCGGCTTTCTAAAATTAAGAAATGTCCTACCAAGAAATTTCTCTGTGATATTATTTTCATTTGCTTTTCCTTTTCCTCATAGTGGTAAAAAAAAAAAATGCAGGAACTCATATGGATGACCGGTCACTCAAAAGCTTTCTCAGTATAGGTTCACTTTCCTCAACCATAAAGTCTAATACAAAATCCTATCTTGCTCAACATTGTATCATCGTGTGGTAGGGTGTCAATTAGCAACTTATTTCCTCTCCACTCCATATGCCCTCTTTAATATATACACTGTGATAAGCACTGGAGTTCCTTAAGCATCTCCCCTTTAAAGTGAACATGATGTTAAGCTCCCGCAGAGGCTGCTTGAGGGACATAACAGAAGGAAGAGCCTCTTCTGCATTTTCCAATGTGGGCAGGGGCTAAGTGGTGTGGATGTAAGGACATCCTATGGAACACTGCTCAGCCATACACCCAAAACACAATCCTCCACAACCTGGCAGCCTCAGCCTTTTGATAACACATAGAAAGCAGAGCTCCCAGGCAGAGGACATAATCTCAAGGCCTCCTGGCTCAGCTGGCACCTACATACTCCCACATGACCCATATGCTATAAAGACCTTTTGCCTCCACTAACGCCTAGGTTTCCACTGCACACCTATACCACCAATTTCTGGTCACCTGCAACACCACCTGGATTCTGGAGTATTGCCTATTTTCCACCCAACAACTCCAGACCAACCCAGCCAAATCAATCAACTTCTCTGCTAACTTGTAGACTAAACCACACCGTTTCCAGCAAAGTCTGAACCTCTTCCAAGTTTGTACTTCCCTAGGTACTCTCCTGCAGCTTTATGGTGTCAATACATAGGGCTTTCTTATATCTCATAGTTACTCTTTTATCATAGTTAAAGATTGTTATATTAAACTTTCCTGTCTAACTTACTATACGGTTTCTGTCTTCTGATTGGACCCAGACTGCTACATGTAGCGTGCTTGGAACATAGTAGGACCTCAGCAACAGGCTAACACTGCCTCTGGGGGGTTCTGCTTATCCACTTGTTTTCTATTTATTCGCCATTTTTATGTCATAATTTTTTTTCCTAAGCTTTGTAATTTTCCCCTATCCTGACTTCTCCTACCTACTCGACCACCAAGCAATCTCATATATTGCATGAAGATTAAGCTTACTAGAATACAACTCTGACATCATACACATGCAAATGCTAATTTTTATTGAGTGCCTATAAGACAAACACTATTTCAAATGCTTTAAATGTAGCATTATTACATTTCACAACACTTCTGAAAGATGGATGTTATTTCCCAATTTTTAAAATGTGCAAAATGAGGCTCAGAGACGTTAAAAACTTGTCCAATATCACATAGTTATTAATTAATACAGCCAGGACCATAAATATATTTTATTCTAAGGCTGTGCTTATTACATCTATGATTTAAGCAACTCTCTGTTTTAAAAAGCACTTATTAGTATCTTTTGCTCTCTGGGCCGAAGGCAATTGTTATCTTGATTATAAAACTTTCTCTGATTTTTCTTTCTCTGTCCCTTATAGCACATTTAGTAGATATCTAATAATACCCATTAGTCTTGAATTATATCTATATATGCTACGTACTTTGAATTCTAAGACGAAAAATTTTTTTAAAAATTTGTTTTTGTCAAGATCTTCCCACCTGAGCTCCTGAAATATTATTTTTTATCTTATCAAGCACACACAAAAAAGATAGCTGATGAAACTATAAAGTTGTATATCAATTAATATATTTTTAAACACATTACTAATTCAGGTCAAGGAAAGGAGAAGAAGTAAATATGCTAGCACTGTGGCTGTTAAAATGAAGTATTTTAATTTATTTTCAGAATTCCAACAACTTGACAAAAACGTATCTATATCTATACACAGGTAGATATTAACATTATATAACAAAGTACTCATTATTAGAAAGGAAGAAAAACTGCATTTATTTCTATTATTAGACTATAAAATACAGTAGCGTTTTATTTTCCTATCAGTATAATCCCACTACCTAGCACAATGTCAGGCAAACAGTTGTTGCCCAATAAATGATAGATAACATAAATCACATTTAGAGCCATAAAACAAGTCTCAATAAAATTAAAATTATTCAAGTAACATAAATTATGTTCTCTGATTGCAATGAAATTAAAAAAATAAAAAAATCAATTATGAAAAGATTTCTGAAGATTTACCAATATTTGGAAATTAAATTATATACTCAACAACTCATGGGTCAAAGTAGAAAGCAAGGACAAAATTATAAAGTATTTTGAACTAAATAAAATATAAATGTGTATCAAAATTTGTGAGATGCCACTAAAGTAGTAAAGCAAATAGGAAAACTTATAGCAATAAATGCCTAAATTAGGAAATATGAAAAGTTCCAAATAAAAAGAAAACTCAGCTGTTACATTGAGGACCAAGAAATGAAGAGCAAATTAAACCCACAGAAGCAGAAGAAAAGTAGTTGAAAATTTCAGATTGAATATAAATAAAGTAGAAAACAGGAAAACAATAGAGAAAAAATAGCTGGCTGTTTGAGAATATCAATAAAATTGATAACCTGAAGGCACACAGATGAAGAAAAATGGGCATAAGAGAAGTTACCAATATCAGGAAGAACAAATGTTGCATCACTACAGGCTCTTCAAAAATTAAGATAAATAAATACTTTGAACTACTTTATGCCATTTTAACTTAGATATAATGGCACATTTGCTAAAAGACACAAACTATCAAACTCATTCAAGAAGAACTGATCATCTAGATAGCCCTATACCTATTAAAGAAATCTAATTTGTTGTTAAAAATTTCCCCTTCCAGGCCCAAATAGCTTTGCTAACAAGTTATACCTAATATTTAATAAAGAAATAATACAAGTTCTACACAAATTCTTTATAAAACTAAAGAGGAGAAAATATCTCTTAACTCTTAACTCATCCTATGAAGCCAGTAGTAACTTGATTCTCACACCTGATAAAGACATTAAAAGAAGACATAAGATCATTATTTTTTATAAACATATATGCAAAAATTATAAATATAATTTCAGAAAATTGAATCCAATGATATTTTTAAGACATGACATATCATGATGAAGTGGAGTATATAAATTGGTTTGACATTTTACAATTAGACAATATCATATGTTATATTAACAACCTCAAAATAAAGATAAAGCATGTGAATATCTCAATAGTTGCAGACAAAGCAATTAATAATTCTTAATATTGGTTCCTGATTTAAAAAAAACCTTCAGGAGACTAGAAATAGAAGTGACAGTTTTCAAGCTGATTAAAGGCATCTGCAAAAAACTTACAGCTAACATGATGCTAAACTTACAAGACTAATTGTTTCCCCACCAAGGTTAGGAACAAGTAGGAGTGTTCATCATAACTGTTTCTATTCAATATTATAATGGATACACTAGCAGATTCAATAAAGCAGGGCAATGAAATAAAACCCATCCAGATTATACCCATCTTTAATTATTGAAAAAATGATCATCTGTCTACATAATCTGATAATGTCTACAAATAAATGACTAGAATAAGTGAGTTTAGAAAGGTTACAGGATATGCAATTAAAATGTAAAAATTAATTGTACTTATATATTATACCAATAAAGAATGAAAAAATATAACTAACAATACAATACCATTTCCAAAGCATCAAAAATATAAAATTGTTAAGGATAAATCTGACAAAATATGTATATACTAAAAATTACATGAAGTTCATAAATATTAGGGAAGACAAATAAATGAAGAGATATACTGTGCTCATGGATCAAAAGAATTAAAATTGTTAAGATGTCAATTCTTCCCAAATCGATCTATAGAATCAATATATTCCAAATACAAATCTAAGCCTGCTTTAAAAAACTTAGCTGATTATTAAATTCACAGACTCCATCTCAAAAAAAAGTAGAGTAAATAAGACAATGTGGTATGAGCAAAAAACACAAAAAAACTCATCAATGAAGCAAAATATAGAGTCCAGAAATATAATCACACGTGTAAACAACTGATCTTCAACAAGGGTACAAAGGCAATACAATATAGAATGATCTTTGTAAACAAATGTTGCTTGAACAATTGGATATCCACAGCAAATACATGAAATTTGATCCTTACCTCACACCATACAATATAAAATTAACACAAAGTAGAACACAGAACTAAAAAGTAAAATTATAACATTTCTAGAAGAAATGACAGGAGAAAAATCTTTGTTACCTTGCCTTTGACAAATTTCATAGATATGACATCAATGGCACTATTAATTTTAAAAACATATAAATTTGACTTCAAAGTTACATGGGTCTGCATTTATTGTATATCAACTTATCTCAATAAAAATGTTAAAAGTAAATTACAAAAATAGTGTAAGGTTGCCAACTTTTTATTTTACTAAATAATGGCATGAAAATAAAACAATTTTATGTTATCACTATTATTTCATAAAGAAAAGATATGTAAAGTTAACCTCTTAAAAATAAATGATCATCCTTCAAATAAAATTAACATGTTTATTTTAAATTTATGCCTTTGTATTTATTTTCTCAATTTTTTTTTGAGAATGAATAAAATAATTCACTATATAGTAAATTTCCCTGGACGGGTAGTGGCAAACTACTGACTCAGAATTAGTTAGTCAGCATGTCCTTTAGTTTTCTTTTATTAAACTGTGTTTGTTGTAACTGGAGAATTAACAGAGGCTGGAAAAATAAATAGTTAAAGGCTATTATCTTGTGAAAATTTTATTGCTGGCATTAGTATTGTTCCTTGCTGTAATAGATGTTTAATATTTACAAATCATTGAATCAATATTTTTGGTGGAATGAAAACTGTCCCATAAAAAAGCAGTATGAATTTTTCTAAAGAAATAAAATATCTCTCATAATATACCTTTAGTAATGCCTTCCCAATTTGTGCAATGTGCTTTTTCTAGCATTGCTATTTAGTATGCATCAATTAAAAAGTTGAAATGACAATCCACTGACTGAAACTTAGGCACAATTCCATGCATGAGAGATATGATAGAAAAAAATTTCATTAAAAATCTCCAAATAAACCTGTTGGTTTGCCATTTAAGAAAACTTATGAGTAAGCTTGACAAGATTGCAAGTCTGTACATTGTTATCACGTTCAGACTTCCCTACTGAGATTTAAAAGCCTAAACAATAGAGCCCTTGGCTGATTTATTTTTGGTTAAACTGTAATAAGTGGATATCTAATGCAGTAGTTTAAACCAAAACAATAATAAAAATTTGAATATTTTCCTAATTCATTCTCTAGATGCTGGTTCTTTAAAAAATTGTCCAAGGGGTGTTTTGGGTTAGTCTTTGAGATCTTACTTTAAGAAAGTAATTTTGAAGTGGTCTCTGGGGTAAATATTTCAGAACCAGGACAGAAACTCTATAGAGCTATCTCAGCTCATAGTTACATGGTCAAGGATGCTCCATAAACTTAAATAACTGAAGGCAGCCCCTGAGCAATGGGGCGGAGGACCGAGTCAACTTGCAGTTTTCAACAGACCAATAGAGTGAAGAGAAAACTAATTAAAAAATCCAAGTTCAGCAAAACTCCTTATTTTCTCCAATTTATGCATATGGGGTGTGAGAATAACAGCTAAACATAGTTTATTAATAGTCTGTAACTTCAAGTTTATATGCTACATTCCCTCAGAAGAGTGAAGAATGAGGACATTCTAATTAGAATTAGGGAGTGGAAGAACAAAACATTATTCCAGATTTTGTCAGTTCCCTGTGGACATAAAAACATGCGATGAATTGAAGCACAGCTAATTTAAAGGTAAGTGAACTTCATCCTAAAACATAAGCCAAATTCAGCACTCTTTAAAGCACCAAGGTTTAAGTTTCTGAAGACAAATATGATTGTGAAAGTATATTTGAATACTCTTTTTACTAAAATCATTATACTTCTCCTACAAACCAATGAACATTTGCATTTAAGGGGCATATGTTCAGTATTCAAGAAGGTGTATGTGAAACAACATATACACTCTTTGAGGAACACAGTGACTCCTAGAGGTCTCTTTGTGGCTGCTTTTATCTACGTTCTTTCCTCTGTCATCAACTACCAGTAGAAAATATTGCTTGTTTAAATAATTTAGCCATGATTGGCCAGCATAAAGCACTAAGGTATTAAAGACTACAGCAACAATGTGTGTGTAAGTGTGCACTTTCATATATACATATTTAAACCTACAGTATAAATGTCCATAATGACAAATTTGTATGCCACGACAGCAATCCCAAGATTTAAGAGAGAAAAACTACATAATCTTAATTCATTTTACATTGTGCTACTCTTGCTTGTGTGTTCAAACCTACAGTTTAAGAATTTCCATTATAAAAACATACTGTATTAATTGTTAATAATAAAATTTAAGAAATTACGCAAAAGATAACTGATATGGTTTGGCTATCTCCCCACCCAAATCTCACCTTGAATTGTAGCTCCCATAATTCCCAGGTGTTATGGGAGGGACCTGGTGGGAGATAATTGAATCATGGGGGTGATTTTCCCCTTATTGTTCTCTTGGTAGTGAATAAGTCTCACGAGATCTGATGGGTTTATCAGGGGCTTCCACTTTCACTTCTCTCTCATTCTCTCTTGCCACTGCCAGGTAAGAAGTGGCTTTTGCCTTCCACCATGATTGTGAGGCCTCCCCAGCCACGTGGAACTGTGAAGCTCTTAAACCTCTTTTTCTTCCCAGTCTCTGGTATGTTTTTATCAGCAATGTGAAAACAGACTAATACAATAACAGATATGGAAATCAGAGAAAGGTCATCTGACATAAAGATAAGTGTTCCTAAAAAAGACATCATATAAATACACCAGAGTCACAGATATAAGAGCAATTTCACAAGCAATGAAAAGAAAAATATACTCTATGCCAGGGAAGTACTAGAAATTTATCAATGAAACAACTTTAATGTTATATAAAAATTTACTTGAAACTTTAGCAGAAAATGTTTAAGCTTCCAACAGCCAATTTGCATTTCTACATTTCTGATATTTTTAATTGATTTTTCATTATGGTTTTGATACTATAATATTTGTGTAAATAATTTAACAATACTTAGATTTCTTTATCTAAATGAGAGGATCATTTTAATAATGGAATTTAATAAGGATATATAAAAATGATTGAAGGAGAAGAAGTCACATCAGTGATTTCCAAGAATGAATCAACTATTTCCAAGAATGAACCAACAGTACTTGCAGACTTGCTAGAACAGAGGATGGAGGAGACAGAGGAGCGAAAAATGATTGTAAGGTTCCATAACTGAGAGAACATTAGAATATTCATAAAAATAGGGAGGTCAAAGGAAGACATGTTACGGGAAAGGTAAACTATAATAGAACTATGAAATGTCTTATTGGAAACATCTACCTGGGAAATATAAGTTTAGCATTTGAGCTTTGTTGAAAGTCATTTATGAAGATGTATATTTGAAGTGATATTTGAGGTAAATAATATGTTTAGATTCCCTATATAAAATGTAGAGAGAGATGAACATTATGTTATGGAGACCGTATAAATTGTTTTCATACTGGGATACTGTTGAGATTAAAGTGAGACACTCAAAAACTAGGAAAAAAGAAGTAAATCTAAGTGTCCCTTACAAACTGGAACATACAGTAATTCTAAGGTTCTTAGAATTAAAGTGGGTGATGAGATCTGGTTCCAGCAAAGAGAGAATAGCCTCATTCCTCTCACGTCTTCACTCTAACACCTAAAAACCCTTGCACATAACAGAACAAACAAGCATAGGAAATTCTGAAAGGTGGAAAGAAGACAGCAGAATGCCCAGGAACCTCAGGATTTGAGGAAACTAAATAACAGTGAGCCCTTGAGTTTTCTTGTTACTTCAAACGTATCCCTGAAAGGGCACTCCAGAAGCCTCCAAGCTAAGCTGAAACTGCCACAGGCACTAAATAAATAAATAGATGGTATTAGAAAAACCTGTTCCCCTAGCCAAAGACCTGAGAAAGGATAATCTGATAAGAGAAAACCTTTTTGGCAATACCAGCCCAACTCCTGCCAAACACCAATGGAAAAATCACAGTGTCAGTGGTGTGACCAGAGAACTGATCTTCCCTGCGATTCTCCTGCCCACAGGTGTAAACAACCTGCTTTGATTCTCCAGCCCAATGTCCAAGCAGTAAACTAATGTTCCATCCCCTGCCTAGAAGAACCAGGCTGTGCTCCCATTCTCTAGATGGATGGTAATCACTGACTAAACAGGGAACAGATCTTCTGTTCCCTGCTTGGTGGATGCAGGCTATTCTTTTATTCCTCTGCCAGGCAAATAGTCATGGTCTGAGCTGGAAGCTCATCTTCCAACCCTCATCCATCCAAAGTAGGCAGTGGTGTGATTTTCCTGCCAGGTTAGTGGCAGTGGGGTCCAGCAGCATGGTGTGCCTACATACCTATCTGGAAGCATCCAAATGTAAGGAGGCAGTATGATCTGAAGTTAGTCACCACTGGCTTCACTCTTTCCACTCAGCTTAAGGCCTGGCAAAGAGGCAAACATGAGCAAGGACTCACTCCGAACCCACAAGGTTGAATGAGGTAGTATGAGTTATAAATCTTCTGCATTCTATTTTCCCTCCCTCCCTGATGTCATGAGTTTACAAGTCATAGTTAATGACTGAAGCAAAGTAATAACAATCTGATACTCAAAAGTATAATATTCAAAATAAGAATTCTACATTTCACTTGAAGTGGTAAACTCTTGATACGAGGAGACTTCCTTAAGTTATATACTTACAACTTATCTGCTATGTGTATATGTGTTCTATAACAACCACTGTGAAAATTATACAAAATGATACTGATGCAAGACAAGTTCTTGGCTTCACCCAGGAAGGAACTCAAGAGCAAGCCAGTAGTAGAAGAGTTTTGTTGAGGCAGCAGCAGTGTTACAGCTCCGTGGCCGCTCCTACGAAACAGGGCTACCTCATAGGTAGTACACTTGGAGTAGCAGCCTAGGGGTAAGTTTTTGCCCATATTTATACCCACTTTTAATGACATGCTAATTAAGGGGCGGGACATTCAGAAATAGCTAGAAAATGAGTGGTAACTTTCAGGTTTTGTCATGGCAATGAGTGGTAACTTCTGGGTATTGCTATAGCAATGGTAAACTGTCATGGCACTGATGGGCATGTCTTACGGAGAGGTGCTTTTGGTGCCTCTTCCTGGTTCAGGTGTCTTCCATCTGGTCTGGAGTCAAGTCCCCACTACCTCCCACTTCATTGCCTCCTCAGAGACTACATACTCCTTAATCTTAAGGGGGCTGAGAAGGGCAGAGCTCCATCTTCTGTAACTCCTTCCTGGAGATTTTTTGGGTGTAGGCCCTGCCCAACACTGGATGAGTAAAAATCTCTGGATACTAGATCTAAGGTGACCAAAGGCAGGATGCTTTCATTCTTTGGGTCAGAAGATGGAATGGGATGGAAGCCTTGTGCCAGCATTGTTTTTACATACAACTGTTGCAATCTAGAATACACAAGTTTTACTATGAGGTAAAACAAGCAAGGGCCAAAAATTAGTAATAACAAGATAGCTATCAAACATCCTAGGAGAGGGAAAAACCAGGTGAGAATTGGGAGGGCATTTTTGATAGTCAAGCAGATATAGTTGGAGTCATTTCCTGGTTCGATCTATCTAACCAGGTAGCTTGCTCTTAGATCTTTTGAATATTAACCTCAGCCTGTCCAGAGTTGTCAATATATGTACAGCAGGTTTTATTAACAACTGCACAGACTCCACCTCGTTCAGCTAGTAAACAATCCAATGCTAGTCTGTTCTTGAGGACCACATTTGCCAGAGTCTAGGGATTCTTGAATTAACTTCAATGCCTGACCTGTGTTGGTAGCTAACGATTCTAGGCTTTGAGTCAAGTTCTTTAGAGTTCACTCATGATAGGAAAAGCCAACCCTGGGGGCTGCTAATCCTATTGGCTCCCTGATTCCCGCCAGAATTAATCCTATTGCTCATTTATTTCTAGTATTCCTGATTCTTATGTGGTTATAGACGGTTACCCCTGGAAGGGTAAGGGTGGCCAATGTACATTCACCCCATTCCAAGATTTTTATATACGAAGGAAAGCTATTCCCCAAAGAACAGGTGGCTTCCTTAGGAATTAGAAGTAGTTATGGGTGTAACTTCTTGCCACTCATGGCCACAAACAGAAACGGGCCCAGTTGAGGCACAAATAGAGGCCCTGGGGGGTGTGATGCCTATCCATCACTGCCAAGTTGGGTCTACGGAGATATTCTTCCCATGCTCCAATGAGGGTAGTCGAACAATCCTTGTTTCCAGAGGGGGGTGATACTCCCACCTTCCCAGATTAGGCAGTTGTTTTTCCCCTGTATGTTCTGATCCAGGAGAAAGCACCATATACAGTTTCCTTTCTCACAAGTGAAATCCCATTTACCGTGCTATAGCCTTGAGAACTTCGCAACTAGAATTGGATCGGAGCATTGCAGAGAAACTTCTGCTTTTGCATCATTAACACAACATGGGGTGCAAAAGATAGAATCATTAGTACACTGGAGATATATATACTTACCTTCCTAGGTGCAGGTAATAGTGGCAATGTGGAATACTGTAAATGTGCTTAATATGGAACGCATTAAGCAGGGAAGAGTTCCAGCTAACACATAGAGGTCTGAGTACTTTGACAACACTATGGTTAGTTAGCAGGTCTGGAGAAATTGCCATGAGATTTTCTGGAAGAGCCAGAAGGTGGAACTCTCTATCTGGGGATATTGGTGACAAATCTAGCAACTATGAGGAGGATTCCCTGATGCTATAATTTTTGAAATATTTACTATATGATTTTGTTCCTACCCACCACACTGGATTAGGTTAATTGGGAGAGCAAACAGGATTAACAGTGGCAGCACAGTGTCCATTTGGGCCTTAGAGTGCCCGTTATGCCCAACAAGGACAAAAGAGGTGTTTCCTAGGAGGAGACAGTTGATCCAAACAATTGAAAAAAAAAAAAAAAAAAAAAAGCCCTACAATCAGGAAGAAGAGAAAAGCATTCCCACCCACAGTATCTGCTTACCACTTCTAGCTAAGTGTTAATTCTTTTAAATAGGTAGCAGAGGTCTTCCAAAGGTTCACAGATATAAGTGGTGGTGACCTCCCTTTGTGTCTGCAACTCATAAGAAACAGGTTTTATCCTGGACATGTGTAACTAAATAGTTATTCCCTGAAGTTTGACAGCAGGGTGGAAGCAGTAATCAACCTGCTTGATACAGACCCTTCCTTTTTGGTTATGATTGACTTTGACAGGATCTTTCATGGGGACTGACAGGATTGTAGTAATCTATACTTTAAGTACTTTG
This sequence comes from Homo sapiens, assembly GCF_000001405.40. Taxonomy (NCBI): domain Eukaryota; kingdom Metazoa; phylum Chordata; class Mammalia; order Primates; family Hominidae; genus Homo; species Homo sapiens. The sequence continues at coordinate 101,954,599 of NC_000009.12, read as the reverse complement.
TTATCAGGGACTGGATGCCCCTCTGAGCCTCAGGTCTCAATGGATACTGTTTTTACCATGGCTAATTAACAATGGATTTTAAAACAACCTGGACTGGGGTACATTAATAGCTCTACCAGGAACTTCCATGCCCCAAACAGAGGGGTCTACTTGAGAAGCACTATGTCATGAAGGGAGGTCTTTTCCTTATCTGGTTTTTTTTTTTTGAAATGGAGTCTTGCTGTGTCTCAGGCTGGAGTGCAGTGGTGCAATCTCAGCTCACAGCAACCTCTGCCTCCTAGGTTCAAGCAATTCCCCTGCCTCAGCCTCCTGAGCAGCTGGGACTACAGGAGTGCATCGCCACACCAGGCTACTTTTTTTAATATTTTAGTAGAGACAGAGTTTCACCATGTAGGCCAGGGTGGTCTTGATCTTCTGACCTCATGATCCACCTGCCTCAACCTCCCAAAGTGCTGGGATTACAGGCGTGAGCCACCGCGCCCAGCCTTTTTTCTTTCTTTGAGACAGAGTCTCTTTCCAGTCACCCAGGCTGGAGTACAGTGGCACGATCTTGGCTCACTGCAGCCTCAACTTCCCAGGCTCAGGTGATCATCCCACCTTAGCCTCCTTAGTAGCTGGTAGTACAGGTGCATGCCACCATGCCCAGCTAATATTTTGTGTGAACTTTTTGTAGAGACAGTGTTTTACCAAGTTGCCAAGGCTGGTCTTGAACTCCAAGGCCCAAGCAATTCACCTACCTCAATTTCCTAAAGTGCTAGGATTATAGCCATGAACCACTGTGTCTGCTCACTTTTCCTTATTTGTGATAAGGCCTGTACTTAGAGCTAGAAGAAGTGTTCCCTTCTGGCCCGTTTCCTTCTTACAAGGCTCTCCAAATTGAACTGCAGCCTGTAATCTCTTCCCAGTAAATGGGAAGACTTACATTTACTGGGAAGAGACTTACAGACTGTAAGTCTCTTCCCAGTAGATGGATGAGGTACTCAGGCATAAGCAAAAATCTGTGGGAAAACATATGGTACCTGACAATATGACCATGAGGGTGAGTGAATCTCCTCACTTTCGTCTAGCCATCAATCCCTGTTATAGTACAAGAGCAAGAAGACAGTAGCCCTAAGAAATGGGTCAGAACTGAGTAGGTTGCACTCATATTGAATAAGAACTCAGTATTTTTGCCTGCCACATCAAAGGTTGCCCAAGGGCCCTCTGGAGATGGTAAGGTATCCAGTGGAAGTTGTAGAGAACCTCAGGCCACATTAGTCCTCTATTCTCTTGGCCATCATGGATCTGGATGGCTCAGACTCCCTTTTAAGCCTGAGGGAATTCTTCTTCCAGTGCCCCTCTTGTTGTATAGAAGACACACTAATTTTGTCCTAAGGGCTGGCAAGTCATGAGTTCTCATCTGGGCATCACAGATGCTGATCTTACTGCATTTTCTCAGGATAGGTAACCCTGAGGCAGCAGGGGACTTAAAGCAGCTGCTAACAATTGCACTTCTTTTGGTTTTCACCTCTACTTTTGTGCTTTCTCTGTTGTTATAAACCCCAAAGGTCACGTTTAAGAGTTGGCTCATGGAGATTTGAGATCCCATTGCTGCCTTTTATAACTGCCTTCTAACATCAGAGGCAGATAGACTAATAAAAGGCACACACAGGAGAGCTCACCCTTCTAGGGAGTCTGGGTCTAGATTAGAATATTTCCCGAGGGCCTCAAGGGAAGCAGACCTGGAATAGAGTGGGATTTTCATCTTTCCTCTGAGTTATTTATCTCACCTTGTCATAATTAACCGGCTTAACTGCACATTTTTTCATACCTTCTATTAAACAAATTAGCATATGATTTCTGTGTTCAAGATCTTGGAAACTCCTCTAATAATCTCATTGAGTGTCTAGATCTGGAACTGTATCTCCTTCTACAAGTAAATGGTGTGGCCTTGATTATGAGCAGCCACGCTATCGGCATGGTCACAAGCAGCTCCTAGAATCCTTTGTTTTTCCTTGCATATTATTACCCACTTGCTATAACTTGTTTGGTACAGCAAGTTTAATAATATTTGCATGTCATGCCAATTTAAATCAAAAGACATGGTCAACTTAAATTCCTCTACAAACTTCCCTGGAGCCTCCATAAAGCAGCCAAACTTTCTCTTGCATAAAGTCAAATTGGACATGGGAAAAGGCATATATCTACTCTGATTGTTCCTCCATCTCTGTCAGTTACCTCCCACAATGGATACAGGTTTGATTTTGGGGGCTGATATGGGGCCCCACTCCTAGTGGCACTGGTTGGGCTTGCTTCTTTGGGCAGTGAAGGACGTAGGCTAGACTTTGTTGGATAAAGGGGAAGGATGCCTGGTGACCTTGGGGTGGAATCTTGCACTATAAAACTGGCAGGGCCCTACTCAGAACCAGGGGACTAAGAGGCTCTGAGGGGGGTGCAGGCCTTCTACAGGTAGCAGCTAGGAGGGGTTCATCTAGGATATCTGGCAGTTATGCTAGGAGCATCATGAGCCAGACACATTCTATAGCTGTCCCTGAGGTCAGTATCCTGCTAGAGGGCCATAAAAGCCTACACATAAGGAATATCTCCCTATTTTTCTTTCTTTTTACAGAACAAGCCTAATTGTAAAGTAACATTATAAGGTAAACAACCACATCCAGGCCAAATCTGTTGGTTCACCAATTTGTGTTGGACCCAAGAGTGTTGCAACAGAAAACGAGTGTTTTCTTCTTCATACTGTCTACTTTGAATTTTCTCCAATTGCCTAAAAGACACCCTAGTGGTGAGTCCTTCAGGATGCTCACTATTGTTCCCATGTCTAATAAGGATATCTACAGGAAGGTTTGAGTTAGCCTAAGTCTAGTGAATGCCTAGTTACTTTTCCCTTTTTAAATTCTCACTTTCTGCAAAGAAAAGTATAAACAGCAAGGAATTATGAAAGGGGACTATGGAAAATGAATGCATAGTAGAATAATGAGCCTGAATTCCCAAGTATCTTAATTTGGGGAGAGAGGAGGTAAACAGAAGGTGATTGTGAAAGGGATGAAGGAAAGGGGTGAGAAGTTCTGCCCAAGGGGAGACCTCAGAGACCCTAACTCGCCAGAGAATCTACCCAGCAGAAGAAACACACAAAAAATATTCAGGCAGCCGCTTTTCAACCACCAGGTAGTTGTTCGTCAGTCAGGCCAGAGTTTGACATTCCTAGTCCCTTTGGCTAAGATGGGCTTGAGCAAGGCAGAAAGGAAGACAACACATGGGAAGGGGCCCACAAGTGGCTGTTAGAAAAATAATAACTTCTAACTTCAGGGCAGAAAATATGAGACCAAGATCGCAGGCTATAACTCACAATCTTAGAAGGAATGTCAGTGCTGAAAACCCCAGAGCATCTGGGAGGTAGCCAACAGTACCAATGCTGAAAAATCCAGAGTATCCATGTATCCACAAACAAGGATCTCCCCACCAAGTAACAAAAACCCCAGGGAATCTGGGGGGCAGCCAACAGTGAACCCAAGGCCAAGTTGGAGTCACAGAACAATGTGACTCTGGCATCCCAGAGTCAATACAAAAGTGGACCTATCACCGTCAAGTGTCCTGCCTTAAACAATTGGCCTAATACAGTTAACAGAAAGTCAAAGCGAAAAAAAAGTGACAAACAGGCCAGGCACCGTGGCTCACACCTGTAATCCCAGCAGTTTGGGAGGCCAAGGCGGGCAGATCACTTGAGGTCAGGAGTTTGAGGCCAGACTGGCCAACATGTTGAAACCCCATCTCTACTAAAAATACAAAAAATTAGCCAGGCATGGTGGTGTGCTCCTGTAGTCCCCAGCTACAAGGGAGACTGAGGCAGGAGAATCGCTTGAACCCGGAAGGTGGAGGTTGCAATGAGCCAAGATTGTGCCACTGCACTCCAGCCTGGGCCACAGAGCAAGACTCCATCTCAAAAGAACAAAAACAACAACAACAAAAACAGCAGCTACAAACAAAACGTATATTTTAGGCCTAAAAATAAAATGGCTGGCAGATCAATACAATGGAATCATAGGAGAAAGGACTCAGGGAAGAGGTGACAAGATGTACTTTAGGGCCAGAGGTCTTAGTCTTTGGCTCTCTCACTATCATGGGATTGTGGACAGTAGGGGACACTCACTCATTTGCGGGAGCCAAAATGATTACAGCTCTACAGCATTACAGCATTAGCTGCTCTGCAGCTTCGATTGCAGTAGCACCAATAGCTGTCTCACTTTCTCTCTGTCTCTTGCTATCTCTCTTGCCATCTCCTCTTCCCTCCTGGCTACCTTGCCACTGATGCAGGACAAATTCTTGGCTTTGCCTGGGAAGGAATTCAACAAGCTGGTGGGAGGAGAAAACAGCTTTATTGAGGCGGTGGCAGTGTTACAGCTCTGTGACTGCTCCTACAGAGCAGGGCTACCCCATAGGTTGTATGCTGAGAGCGGCAGCCTAGAACAGCTTCATAGTCATATTGATACCCACTTTTAATTTTAATGTCATGCTAACTAAGGGGTGGGTTATTCAGGATAACTAGAAATGGGCATTAACTTCCAGATGTAGCTGTGCCAAGAGGCAGTAACTTCCAGAGGTTGCTATGGCAATGGTAAAGTATCATGGCACTGGTGGACATGACTTATGGAGAGGTGCTTTTGGTGTCTCTTCCTGGTTTTGGCCAGTTTTTAGTCTGGTCTGGATCAAGTCCCACCTGCCTCCTACCTCAGTACTAAAGAATATTTATTTTTAAAGAATATTACAAATAAATTATGATGGAATCCTAAAAATTGTTTAATTACCCGCCGGAATGAAATAAAACATAAACAGAGAAACCTGAAACAAAAGTGAAGATATAACAAATAAAATAGCAGACATAAGTCCTCTCATAATAAATGCTTTAAGTAAAAATGGAATAAAATACCATCTAAAATATTGAGACTGACAGATAGGATTAAAAAACAAAGAATATGATCCAGCAATATATGACCTACATGAAACTCTTCAAAGACAATGATATAGGTTGGATAAAGGTAAAGGAATAAAAACAAGAACATGTAAACATTAATACCAAGTAAAAAATAAAAGGAGTATTTATAGTAGTATCAGATAAAGTAGACTTCAGAACAAAAATATTACTAGAGATAAAGAAAGACATTACATAATAAGAGGCAGAATTCTCCAGTAGTACATAACGGTTCTGAAGGTTACATACCAATCAACAGAGCTACAACATACATGAAGCTAAAATGGATAAAGCCAAGACAAGAAATACAAAAATTCATAATCATGGTATGGAATCTTCACACCCCTACTCAGAAATTAGTAGAACTAGCAATTAATAGAGCAATATATATAATCAACAAATATATAAAACTAACCAACATAAATCAACCAGTAGAATAAAATATACATAGAACATTCCAACCAGCAAGAGTAGTATACATGCTTTTTTCAGCCACCCATGAAACATTCACCAAAATAGGCTATATCGTGAGTGATAAAACAAGTCTCAGTACATTTAAAAGAATTAAAATCACACTGACTATGTTCCCTGATCATCACGAATACGACTGGAAAGCAATAACAAAAGAGCAACTAAAACATCTCCAAACACTTGAGGATTAAACAACACCACTACTAAATAATCAGTGGATCAAAGAGAACGCCTCAAAGAAAAAATTTTAAAAACATAGAACTGAAGAAAAATGAAAAGATAACATATCAAAATCTATGGGACACAGTCAAAGCAGCGCTAAGGGAAATTTATAGCACTAAATCCTTACATTAGATAAGAAGAAAGCTCTCAAATCAATAATCTAAGTTTTTGCCTCAAGAAACTAGGAAAATGATATTACAACACTGTTCTCATGAAAAAAAACTAGAAAAATAAGAGAAGATAAACTCAAAGCAGGAAGCAGAAAGGAAGTAATAAAGATCAGAACATAAATTAATTAAAAACAGGGAATAGAGAAAATTTATTTTTAAAAACCGGTTCTTACAAAAATACATTTGATGAATTTCTAGCAAGACTGACAAAGATAAAAGAGAGAACACACCAATCATTAATAACAGGAATATAGTCAAAAGAAAATTAAAACAAGCATGGTGTACAAATTTTCACATAGTCTAGGCAAAAATCAAAAGAATGATAACATCCAGTATCAGCAGGAACACAATGAAACAGATATTTTCATACTTTATTAATAAAATTATGTGTAGTCACAAATTTTTTGAGAAGACATGTAGGCACAAAGGAGTGTCCCAGTAATCTGTATTTTGGGAGTACATCCTTTAAAAATACATAAATACATTTATATATACATACAAATTTATTATACATAAATGCTAAATTTATGTATAATAAGGTTATTGGAGGCAGCCTGAAGTAGAAAAATCTAGAAACTACTTGAATGCTAATGGAGATAAATTTTTGATAGTCACATTGTGAACTAATACCCAACTATTAAAAAACAGAAAGAGTTAAGACAATCAGAAATGAAGTGTGTAATTTATTTTTAAGTTGGGTAGGCAAGTTACAGCGTACTGTATTCAACATTATTACACATATTTTTATAAAATTAAATATAAACAACCTAAATATGTGGGTATATGCATGTATATGTTTGCTTGCATGGAGGAAGATATGGAAAGAAAATACACCAGGCCATTAACTTGGGAATCTTGAACTGTTTTACTTGTCACAAAGAGCACAAACTACCTTATAATCACAAACATTAAATTAAATCCAATAAACAAGCATTTAAGAAAGGACTTTGGGATAACTTTAAGTTGTCATTTAATTTCTTTAGCCTTAACTTGCTCATCTGTACAACTGGGAAAAAAATATTGCATTAGATTGTTGAGGAAATTTAATAACATGGTGTATTAGTCAATTTTCATACTGCTACAAAGAAATACCCACAACTGGGTAATTTATAATGTAAAAGAGGTTTAATGGACTCACAGTTACACATGGCTGGGGAGGCCTCACAATCATGGCAAAGGTGAAGAAAGAGCAAAGGCACATCTTACATGGTGGCAGGCAAGAGAGTGTGTGCAGGAGAAATGCCCTTTTATAAAACCATCAGTTGTCATGAGGCTTATTCACTAACACAAGAACAACAAGGGAAAAACTTGCCTTCATGATTTAATTAACTCGCACCAGGTCCCTCCCCTGACATGTGGGGATTATGGGAGCTACAATTCAAGAAGAGATTTGGTGGAAACACAGCCAAACCATATCACATGATATAGCACATAAACCTATTCATAGTCAGCACTCAATAAATGTTGGTTACAACCATGAAATGTAGAGAGCTAAGAATTGAGAATTCATCAAATGTTTGTATTTAGAGACAGGAGAAAGAAGCAACAGGAAAAGTGCAAAATAGAAAGATCACATACTGAGATATGATAGAAGAGTAAGCAAAGGTATTCTAGCCTAGAGATTCCTGAATTTAATTCCTGCCTTTGTCATTTATTTCCTGTATTACTTGGGTACTTTTGCCGTTCTGAATATTGGCTTCCTTAGCAATAAAACCAACCAAACTGAAAAAATAAGTAAAGCGGCCACTGAATTACCAAGAAAGGCGTCACTGGAAAACCTGAAAGAGGAAGTTTCATTATGATAATGGTTGAGGAAGGCAGAACATTGAGTGCAAACATGGAAACAATGGATGTAGCTTCCTCACTGGAAAATTCTACTCGTGGAAGACAAGAGAGGAAACTCCAAGATCAAAGAAACTATTTTCTTAAATATGGAGCCCATATAAGGATAAACATACACATTTTAAAACTAGGCAATGTGAAAATAATGAAGGCAGTAAAGAAAAGCATAAACATCAAATAATCATAGAACTGGTGAATGGTAAAATCCAAGTTCCAGGATTCCTCAGAGAAGAGAAAGATGGCATTTCATCTCAGTCTGTGAAATGAAGGAAGGAATAAAAAAGGAAGAAAGGAGGGAAGCAACCTATCCTGAAAACAGATGTCTCATTTTGTGAGGAGTACGGAACAAGATCTTTTTTCTCTGCTCCAGTACAGTTTCTTTGGGGACTACATGTACTTAATGGTTTGCTAATGGTTCGCTCCCTGATTGCCCTTTCTCTAGAGAGAAAAAAGAAATGAGTAAAATTAGGCTCTTGGGAAAACCCTAATGATGCATCAGAACTACACTTTAATATTTCAATAATTAGCAGTATTTATTTCTGCATAGTTTTGGCCTGAGAATCCTGCTCTTCTGGTTGTCAGAGGCTGTAGCCTGAGTGTTACTTACACTGTTCTGTAGTGTAAGTCACAGAGAACTTCTAGGTACAGAATACATGTTTCACCTGCAGAAGGAAGTGTTACTATAATCATAGTGATGAAGCATCACTATAATGGCTCTCCTCACCAGAGAGGCTATTAGGTATCAGTCAGTCTCATCCTTTCAGGTTGTTGCTTCTTTTCTGACTCTTTGGAACAATGAGCAAATATTTGTCTCTATTACTTCCTTTCTCATAATTACATTTCCTTATGGTGCATGGAACTTTGAAGGGGGACTCATCAATTGGATCAAAACTGTCAAACTGATCTTATTAAAATTTTATCTTCTATTGCTATTCAGGAAAAAGTTTTCAATCTCCATTAGTTTGTACTAAGTAATGTTATAACCAGCTCTGTTTCCTTTTCAAACTGGATTACCCAGTGATAATCTGGTTGCCTTTATTTTCTTATAAGGCTGCTCACCTTTCCTCTAGATTATATTAAAGTTCTCTATAATTTTGATACACACCTGATCTAGTGATGTTGGAAATAAAAGATGAGCCAGGCTTCATATTCCTAGAAGTTAAATGTCTAGTAAAATTCTTATGAGGAACTTTAAGATTTAAAGAATTTTAAGGCTTCACAAATAGGAGAACGTACAAGATAATCTCTGAATACATACATACATATGTCTCTTTGAGATGAGTTTAACAGAAGTATCTCATGGCCAGTTTTAATGGGACTCCTTGTCCTCATGAGAACAATAAAATCTCCCAAGCTACTAGCAGTCATATTAGTTTTTTTCTTTATTTCTTTTGTTTGTTATTTTTAAAGAAGAACCAAATGGAAACTTTTTCTAAATTTTTATTTTAGGTTTAGGTTAGTTTAACAAATCTGTTCTCCTGCAGATTTGTTATATAGGTAAACTTGTGTCACCAGGGTTTCATGTACAGATTATTTCATCACCCAGGCACTAAACCTAGTACCCAATAGTTATTTTCTCTGCCCCTCTCCCTCCTCCCACCCTTTACTCTCTGGTAGGCTCCAGTGTCTGTTGTTTCCCTCTTTGTGTCCATGTGTCAGTTGTGGATACATTTGTGCACTAAACATCACAAAGTAATTTGAACAGGGAAGACTGAATATAAAGAATTATTAACTTTGTATAATAAATTAACTAAGAAGGGATAAAAGAAAACCCCCAAATATTCTAGGCTGTATACCCAAGGAAGGAACAAACTTAGAAGTGGAGGGAGGGGCTTCCTCCCCAGGGTGGTGATTCAGACCTCACTGGAGAAGGTAATATTGCAGCCCACTGGATGACAGATTTCTGGGTTTTCCTGGGCCAGAGTTTGTTCAAAGTTATCAGGTTAAGAATAAAAACAGAAACTCATCTGCTGGGGTACCTACAAAATTTACCACAGAACTATACACTAGGGTTGCTGTTGAACTTCTAGCTAGGTCAGGCACTAGCTAGCCTTACCAGGAAGCTACCCGAGAGCTGCCCACAGGAAACTCAACAAAAGGCCATCACTGGGACGGCTCCAGGAAGGTATATGGAGTACCCTTGGAATTTGCCCTGTAGAAGACAGCTATGCTGCCCACACGAATTCAGCCAGCAGCTGGCATGCCACTTAACTTGCTTCTAGAAAGCCATGGGTAGTATTTGTGAAACTAATAAAACCAAAACTATCTGCTGAATTCATCAAAGATGAGGTCCACTGTATGTCCTACATGCCACCCTAGACCCACACAAGCAAGAAGAAGCACAGCACACAAGACACAGGAAGAGAAGCCCCTTCCTCTTAATACGTCCCTCTAGAGCCCTTTACTGACAAGGTTAGCACCATGCCAGCTGACAAGGAAGAAATGTTCCACTATCACAAACAGGGCAATGAAGGGCAGATTTGGAGCTAAGAGGCAATAAATTTATAACTGGGACAATTTCATACACCAGTACCCAAATGAACAAACTAGTAATACATTCACCTTCACTTATGGTGTCAAGATTCAACTATGTACTGTATGAAAGAATATAAGCCTCCTACAGAATAATAATGTATACATTTCACAGCATTTAAATGAGACCATTTTCTGAAAGAACCATGACATTTAATTTACCGTTAGATAAAAGTAAAAGATGAAAATAATGTTCTTTTCACAACACAACTCTTAAAACATTTGTGGTTTTATACAATCAGCATATTAGACATTCAAAAGCATCACTATATATATCTACTCAAAAAACAATATTCTAATTATCTGGCAAAAAATCAACATCTTCTGAACAGTTTTTGTGGGCAAGTCTATAGCTACTTACAAGTGTGCAATGAGGATTAACTCCAGCAAGTCTGGAATTCACCAGGACTGTTTCAACAAAGCACCTGCAAGGCACTGATCTTTGGCCATGAAACATACCAATTAACAGTATTGCTTTTTAACCATGAGTTGATGGAGTTTCAGTGTCATTCATACTATTTTGTCAGCATTGTTTATTGGTAATAGTGAGACTGATGATTTAAACCTGATCTTGGTGAAACACCTGGGGACCAGGGTGGACAGGAATGGTACTTTGATGTAAGAGCTGCTTAAGTAACAAGTAAAAGCTGGTTAAGTACTTAACCAAGTGGCCGTAAGAAACCCTGGCCGAGACACTATTTTGGGCTCCCTGATTTCAAGGTGTTCTGTGCTCAGGTCTGCTTCCTGATCTGAGGGAAAATGTGTTCCTGATACAGAACTTACAGAGGAAGGGCAACTGGAGTTTGCATCTGGCTTTCCTGGACCCCTTGCTGTGAGATAGCCTTTGGCTGTCACACATATCCTTATTTTAATAATATTGCTATATTGTATCTTTTTTGGAAACAATCTGTAAATTTATAAGCATTGTCATTTTGGGCTCTAAGTCTTCCTCAGCAACTGGACCCTGTCTAACTGCCATTATTAGCGCAGCAAGCCTGGCTTAAAGTGTAATAATTGCATGGCCTCACAAGGTAAGTGGGAAGATGTTCCAAATGCAGAATAGGTTTCACCCCAGAGAGAACCACTTGGGAAACAGCTTTGTAAAGACTATTTTTAAGAGCCTCAGAAACTTTCTATTTGCCACCTCTCCTCCTATCTTGCTTGAAATTTCTCTAGATTTGACAACTATTAACAGGATCCTACATCCCATCTTGTTGCCTTTAATATTTCCAAGCCAGTAAGTTTTTGTCATTTTTTATAATGTAATCTAAATGATGAAATGTGTTGGCTCTGGGCTGTGTTTTTTTATTTGTCTGAAAAGCCAAGTATTGAGAATAGTTTGCAACAAATAACACAACATTTCTCATTTCAATTTTTCACATAGTTTAGGATAGTACCATCATTTTACCTTCTTGTTGAATATCTGAGTTGCCCACTGGATTTGCATGGTTTTTCTGAAGCACCATCCCCTCCCAATAAAAGACGTTAGCTCCTCCTGCATGGAAATATGTCTTTCATTTTGCAGTTGTTTCTTAAAGCTCTGCTTGTGAATGTTTAAATTATAATAAAGAGTAAAGTATTGGACATTTTTAAATATACTGTTTTTTCATTACTATTCAAATAATATTTATTTTCTTTAAAAAACAAATACAAACTAAGATTTTGTACAGGACTTGAATAGTAATTATATTTATATTTTTACCTGATTAATGTATTTGTCATATTACTAGTAATGAGTAGTAATAACTTTTTACTAGTTATTGTAAGCTAGCCAAAGGCTGTTTTAATTTATAAAATATCCAAAAATTAAATCCATAGGTTGAGACATAACACCAAGCCTCTCTACCTCACTTGCCGTTTCTGATATAATAACCTTGGGGAAGAGAGCAGTGAAATTCTAGCCCTACTTGGATAGAGAGCATCTAGCAGGAGAATAAGCAAAATCAACGAAAGGAGAGTGGCCATAGTGTACAGCTTTCTTGTCCAGATGATGATTTGAGATGCAACTTAAGGCCCCTCCACTGCCTTAATAAAATCAAACCAAGCAACCTAATATGGGGACCCAAAAGCAGGATAAGTTCAAGAAAGACAGTTACTATCACCTCCTTCTCCAGCCACATCATATGTCTTTGGGACATGAAGGGTCAAATTAGGGTGGAAGCAACTGGGGCTATTTCTACTGTTTCCCAATTTCCCTGGTAAATAGAACCCCTTCCTTCTTTTCAATTTTAAAGTTATTTAATTTAGCTGAACCATGAGGGTGCAAGCTAGAAAACTGAAATAGGCTATCAATAAATTAAGCAAGCCCAGAAGCTATACCCAGCACATTTCAAACTGTTACTTTAAATGAAGTTCTTACTATAAAATATTTCTATTTTATTAAATTATAAAGGATGATGTCTACCTTGCAGAAAGCAAATGTATCCTGACACGGTTTACTAACTTAAAGTATTTGGTAAAGTCGCCAAGACAGTCCTAATTATAGGTAAGTATAAAAGTTTGTATAAAAATGCCTTCAAAATAATTGCAGAAATCTTTCATCCATAACTCCATCTTTGTTCAAAAGAAATAGTCACTCAGGAAATAACCCTTCTCTGTGAGTTTCCTGCAGCACTGCAGAAATACAAAGCTTAATTCATAGGATTGGCAGTCACTGAATATAGATATTCTTAGTGGAAGGCATTTCTTCAATTATCATATTTAGCTTGCTATCCTTTGTCACTAAGCGCAGATGTAAAAGGAAAAACCGAGGAAAATTAGCAAACTGAAAAATTAGCTCTAACTTTGGATTGGACCAATCTGAGTGTAAATCCCAGCTTATATGTATATGAGTAAGTTACCTGAGGGGGTGGAGCCAACATGGCCGAATAGGAACAGCTCCAGTCTACAGCTCCCAGCATGAGCGACGCAGAAGACAGATGATTTCTGCATTTCCAACTGAGGTACCGGGTTCATCTCATGGGGGAGTGTCGGAAAGTGGGTGCAGGACAGTGGGTGCAGTGCACCAAGTGTGAGCCGACGCAGGGCTAGGCACTGCCTCACCCCGGAAGTGCAAGGGGTCAAGGAATTTCCTTTCCTAGTCAAAGAAAGGGGTGACAGACGGCACCTGGAAAATCAGGTCACTCCCACCCTAATACTGCGCTTTTCCAACGGTCTTAGCAAATGGCACACCAGGAGATTATATCCTGCACCTGGCTCTGAGGGTCCTACACCCACGGAGCCTTGCTCATTGATAGCACAGCAGTCTGAGATCAAACTGCAAGGCGGCAGTGAGGCTGGGGGAGGGGCACCCGCCATTGCCCAGGCTTGAGTAGGTAAACAAAGCAGCCTGGAAGCTCGAACTGGGTGGAGCCCACCACAGCTCAAGGAGGCCTGCCTGCCTTTGTAGACTCCACCTCTGGGGGCAGGGCATTTCCAAACAACAGGCAGCAGAATCCTCTGCAGACTTAAATTTCCCCGTCTGACAGCTTTGAAGAGAGTAGTGGTTCTCCCAACACGCAGCTGGAGATCTGAGAACGGACAGACTGCCTCCTCAAGTGGGTCCCTGACCCCTGAGTAGCCTAATTGGGAGGCACCCCCCAGTAGGAACTGACTAACACCTCACACGGCCAGGTACTCCTCTGAGACAAAACTTGCAGAGGAACGATCAGGCAGCAACATTTGCTGTTCACCAATATCCGCTGTTCTGCAGCCTCCGCTGCTGATACCCAGGAAAACAGCGTCTGGAGTGGACCTCCAGCAAACTCCAACAGACATGCAGCTGAAGGTCCTGTCTGCTACAAGGAAAACTAAAAAACAGAAAGGACATGCACACCAAAACCCCATCTGCACATCAACAACATCAAAGACCAAAGGTAGATAAAAACCACAAAGATGGGGAAAAAACAGAGCAGAAAAACTGGAAACTCTAAAAATCAGAGTGCCTCTCCTCCTCCAAAGGAACACAGCTCCTCACCAGCAACAGAACAAAGCTGGACAGAGAATGACTTTGACGAGTTGAGAGAAGAGGGCTTCAGATGATCAAACTACTCTGAGCTAAAGGAGGAAGTTCGAAACCATGGCAAAAAAGTTAAAAACCTTCACAAAAAATTAGACGAATGGCTAACTAGAATAACCAATGCAGAGAAGTCCTTCAAGGACCTGATGGAGTTGAAAACTAAGGCATGAGAACTACGTGATGAATGCACAAGGCTCAGTAGCTGACTCAATCAACTGGAAGAAAGGGTAAAAGTGATGGAAGATCAAACGAATGAAATGAAGTGAGAAGAGAAGTTTAAAGAAAAAAGAATAAAAAGAAACGAACAAAGCCTCCAAGAAATACGGGACTATGTGAAAAGACCAAATCTATGCCTGACTGGTGTACCTGAAAGTGACGGGGAGAATGGAACCAAGGTGGAAAACGTTCTGCAGGATATTATCCAGGAGAACTTCCCCAATCTAGCAAGGCAGGCCAACATTCAGATTCAGAAAATACAGAGAACGCCACAAAGATACTCCTCAAGAAGAGCAACTCCAAGACACATAATTGTCAGATTCACCAAAGTTGAAAGGAAGGAAAAAATGTTAAGGGCAGCCAGAGAGAAAGGTCAGGTTACCCACAAAGGGAAGCCCATCAGACAAACAGCTGATCTCTCAGCAGAAACTCTACAGGCCAGAAGAGAGTGGGGGCCAATATTCAACATTCTTAAAGAAAAGAATTTTCAACCCAGAATTTCATATCCAGCCAAACTAAGCTTCATAAGTGAAGGAGAAATAAAATCCTTTACAGACAAGCAAATGCTGAGAGATTTTGTCACCACCAGGCCTGCCCTACAAGAGCTCCTGAAGGAAGCACTAAACATGGAAAGGAACAACTGGTACCAGCCACTGCAAAAACATGCCAAATTGTAAAGACCATCGAGGCTAGGAAGAAACTGCATCAACTAACGAGCAAAATAACTAGCTAACATCATAATGACAGGATCAAATTCACACATAACAATATTAACCTTAAATGTAAACGGGCTAAATGCTCCAATTAAAAGACACAGACTGGCAAATTGAATAGAGTCAAGACCCGTCAGTGTGCTGTATTCAGGAAACCCATCTCATGTGCAGAAACACACATAGGCTTAAAATAAAGGGATGGAGGAAGATCTACCAAGCAAATGGAAAATAAAAAAAGACACAGGTTGCAATCCTAGTCTCAGATAAAACAGACTTTAAACCAACAAAGATCAAAAGAGACAAAGAAGGCCATTACGTAATAGTAAAGGGATAAATTCCACAAGAAGAGCTAACTATCCTAAATATATATGCACCCAATACAGGAGCACCCAGATTCATAAAGCAAGTCCTTAGAGACCAAGGAAGAGACTTACACTCCCACACAATAATAATGGGAGACTTTAACACCCCACTGTCAACATTAGACAGATCAACGAGACAGAAAGTTAACAAGGATATCCAGGAATTGAACTCAGCTCTGCACCAAGTGGACCTAATAGACATCTACAGAACTCTCCACCAAATCAACCGAATATACATTCTTCTCAGCACCACACCACACTTATTCCAAAATTGACCACATAGTTGGAAGTAAAGCACTCCTCAGCAAATGTAAAAGAACAGAAATTATGGCAAACTGTCTCTCAGACCACAGTGCAATCAAACTAGAACTCAGGATTAAGAATCTCACTAAAAACTGCTCAACTACATGGAAATTGAACAACCTGCTCCTGAATGACTACTGGGTACATAACAAAATGAAGGCAGAAATAAAGATGTTCTTTGAAACCAACGAGAACAAAGACAAAACATACCAGAATCTCTGGGACACATTCAAAGCAGTGTATAGAGGGAAATTTATAGCACTAAAGGCCCACAAGAGAAAGCAGGAAAGATCTAAAATGGACACCCTAACATCACAATTAAAAGAACTAGAGAAGCAAGAGCAAACACATTCAAAAGCTAGCAGAAGGCAAGAAATAACTAAAATCAGAGCAGAACTGAAGGAGATAGAGACACAAAAAACCCTTCAAAAAATCAATGAATGCAGGAGCTGGTTTTTCGAAAAGATCAACAAAATTGACAGACCACTAGCAAGACTAAGAAAGAAGAAAAGAGAGAAGAATCAAATAGATGCAATAAAAAATGATAAAGGGGCTATCACCACCAATCCCACAGAAATATAAACTACCCTCAGAGAATACTATAAACACCTCTATGCAAATAAACTAGAAAATCTAGAAGAAATAGATAAATTCCTCGACACATACACCCTCCCAAGACTAAACCAGGAAGAAGTTGAATCTCTGAATAGACCAATAACAGGCTCTGAAATTGAGGCAATAATTAATAGCTTACCAACCAAAAAAAAGTCCAGGACCAGATGGATTCACAGCCAAATTCTACCAGAGGTACAAGGAGGAGCTGGTACCATTCCTTCTGAAACTATTCCAATCAATAGAAAAAGAGGGAATCCTCCCTAACTCATTTTATGAGGCCAGCATCATCCTGATACCAAAGCCTGGCAGAGATACAACAAAAAAAGAGAATTTTAGACCAATATCCCTGATGAACATTGATGCAAAAATCCCCAATAAAATACTGGCAAACTGAATCCAGCAGCACATCAAAAAGCTTATCCACCATGATCAAGTGGGCTTCATCCCTGGGATGCAAGGCTGGTTCAACATACACAAATCAATAAACATAATCCAGCATATAAACAGAACCAATGGCAAAAAACACATGATTATCTCAATAGATGCAGAAAAGACCTTTGACAATATTCAACAATGCTTCATGCTAAAAACTCTCAATAAATTAGGTATTGATGGGACATATCTCAAAATAATAAGAGCTATTTATGACAAACCCACAGCCAATATTATACTGAATGAGCAAAAACTGGAAGCATTCCCTTTGAAAACTGGCACAAGACAGGAATGCCCTCTCTCACCACTCCTATTCAATATATTGTTGGAAGTTCTGGCCAGGGCAATCAGGCAGGAGAAAGAAATAAAGGGTATTCAATTAGGAAAGGAGGAAGTCAAATTGTCCCTGTTTGCAGATGACATGATTGTATATCTAGAAAACCCCATCATCTCAGCCCAAAATCTCCGTAAGCTGATAAGCAACTTCAGCAAAGTCTCAGGATACAAAATCAATGTACAAAAATCACAAGCATTCTTATACACCAATAACAGACAAACAGAGAGCCAAATCATGAGTGAACTCCCATTCACAATTGCTTCAAAGAGAATAAAATACCTAGGAATCCAACGTACAAGGGACATGAAGGACCTCTTCAAGGAGAACTACAAACAACTGCTCAATGAAATAAAAGAGGATACAAACAAATGGAAGAACATTCCATGCTCATGTGTAGGAAGAATCAATATTGTGAACATGGCCATACTGCCCAAGGTAATTTATAGATTCAATGCCATCCCCATCAAGCTACCAATGACTTTCTTCACAGAATTGGAAAAAACTAATTTAAAGTTCATATGGAACCAAAAAAGAGCCCACGTTGCCAAGTCAATCCTAAGCCAAAAGAACAAAGCTGGAGGCATCACACTACCTGACTTCAAACTATACTACAAGGCTACAGGAACCAAAACAGCATGGTACTGGTACCAAAACAGAGATATAGACCAATGGAACAGAACAGAGCCCTCAGAAATAATGCTGCATATCTACAACCATCTGATCTTTGACAAACCTGAGAAAAACAAGCAATGGGGAAACAATTCCCTATTTAATAAATGGTGCTGGGAAAACTGGCTAGCCATATGTAGAAAGTTGAAACTGGATCCTTCCTTACACCTTATACAAAAATTAATTCAAGATGGATTAAAGACTTAAATGTTAGACCTAAAACCATAAAAACCCTAGAAGAAAACCTAGGCAATACCATTCAGGACATAGTCATGGGCAAGGACTTCATGTCTAAAACACAAAAAGCAATGGCAACAAAAGCCAAAATTGACAAATGGGATCTAATGAAACTCAAGAGCTTCTGCACAGCAAAAGAAACTACCATCAGAGTGAACAGGCAACCTACAGAATGGGAGAAAATTTTTGCAATCTACTCATCTGACAAAGGGCTAATATCCAGAATCTACAATGAACACAAACAAATTTACAAGAAAAAAACAAACAACCCCATCAAAAAGTGGGCAAAGGATATGAACAGACACTTCTCAAAAGAAGATATTTATGCAGCTAAAAGACACATGAAAAAATGCTCATCATCACTGGCCATCAGAGAAATGCAAATCAAAAACACAATGAGATATCATCTCACAGCAGTTAGAATGACGATCATTAAAAAGTCAGGAAACAACAGGTGCTGGACAGGATGTGGAGAAATAGGAACACTTTTACACTGTTGGTGGGATGGTAAACTAGTTCAACCATTGTGGAAGTCAGTGTGGAGATTCCTCCGGGATCGAGCACTGGAAATACCATTTGACACAGCAATCCCATTACTGGGTATATACCCAAAGGATTATAAAACATGCTGCTATAAAGATACATGAATAGGTATGTTTATTGCGGCACTATTCACAATAGCAAAGACTTGGAACCAACCCAAATGTCCAACAATGATAGACTGCATTAAGAAAATGTGGCACATATACACCATGGAATACTATGCAGCTATAAAAAATGATGAGTTCATGTCCTTTGTAGGGACATGGATGAAACTGGAAACCATAATTCTCAGCAAACTATCACAAGGACAGAAAACCAAACACTGCATATTCTCACTCATAGGTGGGAATTGAACAATGAGAACACATGGAGACAGGAAGGGGAACATCACACACCAGAGCCTGTTGTGGGGTGGGGGGAGGGATAGCATTAGGAGATATACCTAATGTTAAATGACGAGTTGCTGGGTGCAGCACAACAACATGGCACATGTATACATATGTAACTAACCTGCATGTTGTGCACTTGTACCCTAAAACTTAAAGTATAATAAAAAAAAAAGTTACCCGAGTCTTCTGAACTTCAGTTTTCTCAATTAAAAAAGAATAAAAATAATATTGTGGTTATTTAAAGAATTTAAGTGATGTCTAATATGGAGCCCACAATATTGAGCATATTAAAATAATTGTTGATACCACTATTTATTATTAAGGTTTATCTGAATTTTAGACTTATCTCTGCATTTTTGCCTCACCAGGCCTCAGTTTGCTCATATATCAAATGCCAGGTTGATTTAGAGATATAATCATGGTTCTAGCCAGCACTGACATTCCTTGAATCAATGACATTTTTCTATTATTAAAACTCGATAGGACGGAGGTCATTTTTTGTTTTTTGTTTTTTGTTTTTGCAAAAAACTGTGACTTCAGTTTTTCTGTGTTCTGCGAAGGCAGCGTTGGGGTGCTGCTTCCCTGAGTTCACAGGGAACCCTTATTTCATCTCTTAGAATATCTCTAATTAAGACAGGCTGCAATGGTCAGTGTGACCATAAAAGGCATTCACATTTAAGAATCAATAGGGAAAAGATAAATATGCTCAATTATTCATCAAACATTAGTATTATGATGGCTTCAAAAGAGGATATTCACATTTTGTACATTTTTCTACAAAGTAATATGATTTTAAATCCCACAAATCATATTGGAGTATATTAAGGTTGTAGGTAAGCATGTAAAGGGCAAATAGTGGATTTATTACTATTCGAATTTTAAAACTAGTAAAAGTAATCAATAATGTTGGAGAAAATGCCTAAATATTTGGGTGGAAGGGATGTTAGTAATTATTAGCTTCCCACCATATACCATACAAAACAAAATTTCATGTGGATCAATGATTTAAATATTTTTTAAAGGTAAAAAAAAAAAGACTGAAAAAAAAGAAGTAAAATTTTAAGTTTTACAATGGGAAAGTCCTTTCTTAACGTATTACCAAAATCAAATAATATAGAATAAGACTACCATATTTGACTACCATTATCAATAAAATTACTCTATGGTAGAAGATACTCTCAAGAAAGTTTAAAAAGACAAATGACAAATTTTGAGAATATGTTTCAAGTACCAAACAAAAGTCAGTATCAATGTGCATAAGGTTGTGATAGCATTTGGAAGACATCACTTCCATGAACTCCAAGATATTCTAATTCATTGCCAACCCAAACCACTCCTATTTCCACACAGAATTTCTAAGGAACCCTTACACAAGGAACCAAAGAGAATTTAAATCAAACTACCATTTATTAACCCCTAACACTTCTGCAAGTAATCAATATTCCAACTGCACCAAAAGTTAATTTAGAACACAAGCTTTGGTCTCAGGGTCTCATCAGAGCCTCTTCCTCTTCCTATCCTCACTTTTATTTATTTTTTTTTTTTGAGAGGGAGTTTCACTCTTGTTGTTCAGGCACGATCTTGGCTCACCGCAACCTCTGCCTCCCATGTTCAAGTGATTCTCCTGCCTCAGTCTCCCAAGTAGCTGAAATTACAGGCATGCACCACCACTCCCGGCTAATTTTGTATTTTTAGTAGAAATGGGGTTTCTCCATGTTGGTCAGGCTTGTCTCCAACTCCCTACCTCAGGTGATCTGCCCGCCTCGTCCTCCTGAATTGCTGGGATTACACGCGTGAGCCACCACTCCCGGCTCCTATCCTCACGTTTTAACACCACCTCCCTTCCTCCATAAATTATGAAGCACATTCTCAGGACTTACTACATAGAAGCAGCAACCAAGCTTTAATAGTATCCCTAACTTGGTTGATCAATTCTCCTACATGGAATTCAAGCAGAAATGGCAACAAAATTGACTATCTTGACCTCAGTGTCTAAAACTAGAAGTTTTAAAAAGAGAAGGGAGCATGGGTCTCTATGCTTGCAAAATAAGCATAATCTTACCAATGATTAATTGTAGTCCAGTGAATGACAAACTCTGAGTATATATATTAACAAATGTTTCTTCCTTGGAGAGGAATGGGTGACAAAAATAGACAACACTAGTATTTATTAAGACATGATAATTCTCTGTACTATGAGAAGTACTACGTTTAAATCCATGAATCTATTTTGAGAAATATATAGACACTTCTGTTCTCATTAAATTCTGAGGCTACTCTTAATCAGAAAGTATAGTTATTTTAGAAAATGACCCTAGAACTAGAAGCCTGTATCCACCATGATTACCCGTGTGACCACGAATGTATACCTTAAATCATTAAGCTCATCTGCTCACCTGTTAAGTTGAAATAATACCTACCTCTTTGGGGTTTTAGCAAGCATTAAATGAGATGCACAAGGAAAACTCTATTTTATGCTACCTTACACAATAGTGTTTCTCACTGAGAAATAATCCAAATTCTAGATTGGCTTAGTCCAGTGCCTAGCACAGAGTTAAAAACCAATAAATGTTGTATATCTTAGTCCTCTACCCTTCTTAAGAAAATATCAATTTCTCAGCAATATATTTTAATTACCACAGCATTAGCCAAACCATTATATTAAGTTACACACTACCCAAAGTCCAAAGCTAATACTAACATATCCCTGCAGGCCACTGGACAGACACCGAAGTCTTCTTGGAGAAAACCATATTGCCTGGTTTTCTTTAGACAAGCTAGTTTTCAAATAATTCAAACTGCACCCACCAAAAGAATTTCCCCTGTCTTCTATTTCCTATACAGATGTTAAACAGGAAGGTATGATTACATTTAATTTAACTTGTAGGTGTTACATGGAACAAAAATGTAAGTCTCTGCAGCTTCAGTCTGCCTTGCTATATAACATTTGCTCTCATTGGCTAAGACTTTGCCAGAAAGAGGTATATAAAGGGTATAAATTTGGCTTAGCCAATTTATCCACCCATATTTCACTACCAGGCATGGGCAGAACTACATAAAACCATTGTCCAAAGTCACCTTATAAGCCTCCCTGTGCTACTGAGATTTCTAATATGTTATTTAAGAAAATCTGCTTTGGTGGCATATTTAAGTATATTTTTAGGTCCAAACTTTGATCTTAGTTACAGCTAAACCATGGAGTTGATGAATCCTGGTAGAACAAAGAGAAGTCATTCTCTGTTATAACTCATATTATACTGCATTCTCACAAGTAACAAAAGAATATGGTGGCTCCATTATTTAATATGTGACTGCACATCTGAGTCAAATGAGAAATACAGCAAATCCCTCACACCGCAATGAGGGTTAAGCATGTTTTACTACATGGACATAGTGCTATTTTTATCTAAAAGGAATATAAAGATGGCTAATTCACATAGGTTGCTGGGCTTTAATATTTCATCTCTTTTTAGTTACTTACAGAAGCTTAAAATCTGAAAAGTCGAACTGTCAGTGAAGAAACACATTCTTTTCTTCTTCTATCATAACTATTTTATACTAAATGCATCTCACGTAGCAATGCTCTTTTTTTTCCCCCAGAGAATCTGGCAGCAGCCACAAAACTTAGCCTTACCAGTGTCTGTGGGTGTCTCCAAGCAGCAGTCAAGTCCTCTGAGAGAATAGTAAAGTCACTGATATGTTCCAGAAAATCAGTCTAGCAGCTCATTAAAAATTTGGCAGAAAGAAAATTAATTTTTGAAATCTTTAAAGACTTTCTTTAAATTCAATTTTTGAAGACCAAAAGGGAAATCATCTTTTTTAAATCTCATATAAATGAGTTCCATGGTCCATTAAAATCTTTTGCTGTTATACGATTTAATAGTGAAATACATTGCTTATGAATACATTTCCACTCTTTAGGTCCCTTAAATAAAATAGCAGTAAAGAATGAAGTAGGAAAAGGGAACTATTATAACATTTGTCAGGTACTGATGCTTTGCCAGGAAGATCATAATTCATTATATACATTATTTCTTTCAATCTTCACCATAATCTTGAAAAATATGGAGGCAGTAGAGTATAGTGGTTAGGAATCAAGATTTAGAATCAGCTTCACTGGGTTTCATATTCACTCACTTGCCAAGTGACAGTCAAATTATTTAGCTTCTCTGAGTCTGTTTCCTCCTTTGCAAATGGCATTGAAAATATGTCAAAATGCTGTTTTGATTATTGAAATAGAACATGATAATGAAATTCTTAGCAAAGTGACGTGCATATAGCAAATACTCAATATATGGGAGCAAAATTAACAGTCGGTACTATTGTTCATTTTACAGAATCAAAAAGCAAGGCTCAGAAGTGAAGCAACTTGTCCACATCACAAGGGTAGAGAATAATGAGGCTATAGTTTAATTTTCATCTCTTAAGCCTCCAAAGTCCATAGTCTTCAATTACAAGATTCCTCTAAGAACAATTACATAAACTTTTGATATGAAAATCAAAAGGAATGTCTTAGTTCTATTTGGGAAAAGAGAAAATACTGTGCAATTCTTTTTTTATTTATGTATGAGGTAAATTATGCAGGTATGTACAGTCCTTACTATCCATATTTCACATGAATAATTGGAATCTTTCCTGAAGAGAAGGGGAGGTGACAGATGAATGAAATTTAAATGTCATATAGTAGAATTTTTTTTATAGTCCACCTAAATGTCACAGGGGCTGTAAGCAGATAGTTTCCTTTAGAAGGAATATGGACAGGTCAAAACTGTGACTGTCATATTTAGTTCACAGATGCCTAGAGGTTAATGACTTACCCATGGTCATGAAGCTGTTAAGGGATAAAATGAGGATTTAAAAGGCATAATGTATCTTGCATTCAAAGCTACAGGTTTATTTTATTTTTTACAATGACAGATAAAATTCTATGTATTTACTGTGTCCAACATGGTGTTTTGCTGTATAGATACATTGCAGAATGACTAAATCTAGCTAATTAACATATGCATTACCACACATATTTATCATTTCTGTGGCGAGAATACTTCCCTTTTCTCCACATCCTCACCAACACTTGTGATCTTTTGTCTTTTTGATAAAAGCCATTATAACCCATGGGTGGTGATAGCTTATTGTGGTTTTGATTTGCATTTCTCTGATGATTGGTGATGTTGAAATTTTTTTATACTTGGGTATCATCTGTATGTCTTCTTTTAAGAAATGTCTATTCATGTCCTTTGCCCATATTTTAATCAAGTTATTTGTCTTGCTATTGAGTTTCTTATATACTTTGGATATTAACCCCTTACCAAATACATAGTTTGCAAATATTTTCTCCTGTTCTGTAGGTTGCCTCTTCACTGCTGTTTTCTTTGTTGTTCAAAAGCTTCTTAGTTTGACGTAATCCCATTAGTCTATTTCTGCGTTTGTTGCCTATTAAACTACAGGTTTAAAATAATGTAGCTACACTCCTACAGTCTTGTTTGCAACCACAGTAAAAAATATATTTATTCATATGTCAAAAAAATCCATTAAAGAAAATCTATGTACTTTTATAAGTTATAATTCTATTGGCATTCTAGCCCAGGCTGTTTTGAAATGTGTCAAATTAATGACTGCAGTATATGAAGATTTTCTTTTTTATTTACAATGATACAGTTCAGATAGCAGTGGCTGTAATTCCTTGGGTCCCAGATCATATTGTAATATTTCATATTTCTTGCCTGTGGACATGGAAGAGGCATTGCCTGGAATATCTTCTATCCTTCCCTCCTCACCCAGCTGGCAAATTGGCTGTGACTGTTTTAAGCCTCAGTTCAGATATAGCTTCTTCCAGAAAAATTTCCCTGGGCAACACCCCTGCATTACTAATTATTCTATTCTCTGGGAAATATCTTGTTTCTTGTATAAATTTATGTTGCAGTTATCA
Source organism: Homo sapiens (assembly GCF_000001405.40). NCBI lineage: Eukaryota > Metazoa > Chordata > Mammalia > Primates > Hominidae > Homo > Homo sapiens. Next base: position 101,929,657 of record NC_000009.12, on the reverse strand, counting down.
TAAAGTAGATGATTTATTACTGTGTCTATCTTCCATGCTAGACTAGGAACTTATTAAGCACAGGTACCATGTCTTAGTCATTTTGAGCACCACATTTAGAAGTACCTAGGCACACGGGAGGTGACCAATAATTTTACAAATTGAATTATACAGAAACTACAAAATTAACATTTTATTTAGGATTAATGAAAAATATATAATTCCTTGATGAAATTATGAAATATTGATATTATGAAATTATGAGGTCTGAATTATGAAATATTAGTGTTCACATTCAGATATTCCTGAGATATAGATTGTGAGTCATAAATCATGAGATAATTATGATATAATAAATATAAATTTATTAATACTTTGTCTTTTATAGTGATTATATCTTAAGTTTTTAGGAAGGTATATAGATGCAGTTTATCCAGTTACAATTTTCACTTTAAAATTGAATCCTTATGTTTAAAATTAGCCATTTACAAATTAAAACATAGGTGACAATTTGCAAATCAGGGACGCAGACCTTTGCGCAGTTGAAAATTTGCATGTGGCTTGACTCTCCAAAAACTTAACTACTAAGTTTTAGTACTTAACTACTAAGTCAACTACTGTTGACTGGAAGCCTTACCAATAGCATAGTCAATTAACACATTTTGTATATTATTGTATTTTATACTCTATTCTTATTATATTTTATACTCTATTCTTTATTCTACCTTTATGAAGTAAGCTAGGAAAAAGAAAATGTTATTCAGAAAATCAAAAGGAAGAGAAAATACATTTACTATTTATTAAGCTGAAGTGAATCATCATAAAGTCATCCTCCTCCTCTTATTTATATTGAGAAGGCTGAGGAAGATGAGGAAGAGAAGAGGTTGGTCCTTCTGTCTCAAGGCTCTGAACAGAGGCAGAAGAAAATCTGCATATAAGAGAGCTTGGCCTGGTCGTGATGGTGTGCCCCTGTAATCCCAGCTACTCGGGAGGCTGAGACAGGAGAACCACTTGAACCCGGGAGGTGGATGTTGTGGTGAGCCAAGATCATGCCACTGCATTCCAGCCTGGGTGACAGAGCAAGATCCTGTATCAAAAAAAAAAAAAAGAAAAGAAAAGAAAAAGAAAAAAAAAGAAAAGAGAGAGAGAGCCTGCACAGTTCAAACCTGATTTGTTCAAGGGATAACTGTATTATAATAAAGACTTTTAATATTTTGAATCTATTCATATTTACTACTTTAAAAAATAATGTTAAACTTATGGATTTATATTCTCTAAACTTGGATAATTCTGAAGTATTAATAACTAATCTGAAAGTAGATTTATTAAAATCCAGGTTATCTTAAAGAATTACATTTTAATAGTTCTCAACTAATAACCATTCTGTGAAGGAGGTAGTTATGCAATGTAATATTCCTTCACTGTTTCTTGATATTTTTGGTTGGTAAATTGGATTTGAAAAGCACTTCTGACAAAGATCACTGACTCTACATGCAAATTAATGTTGCCTTTAAGCTTAACTACAGCTCTCAGCTTTTGCTCTCCAAGTAAATAACAAAAGGCAGCCGAATCATCCACAAAGCTAACATGAAATATTCTCTAGCCCATCTGACATTTCAGTACAAGCACTGCTTAGAAAACCAAAAATACATCTGGGTAAAATTACAGAATATTTGAAACTAGCAGGGCTGTCTGTCAAGACTTTCATTTTTTAGTGACTTCTGATTTCTTAAAAACATACATCAGCCTTTATTCACCATTGAAAGCATCATTGTTGGAGTAGACACCTGCTTAAGAAGATGCTTGGAACTATTTGGAAGGTTGTTCGCTTTGTCTGAATTGTATTTCACTGACCTCCCAGTGCTTCCGTTATTTCACACAGTTGGCTTTCCCTTCTACATTCCCTTGGAGTGTGAAAATGGAAAAATGTAATGGCCATCCAGGTACAGGAGCCTGGGTGTGAAAATTCTAGTTCTTCCCACAGTATTCATCAACACAAATTGATTTTCTCGCAGGTCATTCTTAAAAGTAGACATTAGTATAGTTGCTAGTGTGTTTAGGTAATTTTATATATATTCTCATCTGTTTTGACTCTTCTTCGATTGGCAAGTTCTGTCAATTATGTTCATTGGCCATACATGATTTTAGCCACCTTTGGTCTATAAACTATTTAATTAAAACTTTATTTCCCTAATGTTGCTGATTATGTTTTTAACTCTTTAATATAGTTTATCATTGAGTACATATTCCAAGAAACTCTTTGGCTTACGTCTCTGTCTAATGTAAAATCTAGTAGAAACTGAAACTGGGCAACTTTAGAGTTGACTCCATTTTCGTATACATTCGTTCACTCATTTATTTAGCATTTATGAAGTAACATTGTTTTCCAAGTGCAGTGTTAGGAGTCATAGTTGGATATAGATAATATAGAAATAGACATAGATATTTGCTACAGGTAGATAGAATATACAGATAGATATTCAACAAAATGAGTTAAGCAATGTAAGCAGTAAACAAACTGACTTAGCAAATAGATTAAGCACCTGTGTGCATGGATCACAATTTTATCTACAAAATCATAATAGCATGGTAATTCCAGCTGAGAGTGAGAATTTCTTGAAATTTTTATCCTTCAATTTACTTAGTCATTCTAAAATACATTGCTCCACAAGGCTTAGTTCAAAATAAAGTTCTGACATAAGCTACAACATGGATGAAACTTTAAAATATTATGTTATGTTGAAAAAATTCAGTCACAAAAGACCACATATTGCATGATCCCTTTTATATGTACTATCCAGAATAGGCAAATCCATTGAGACAGAAAGTAGATTAGTGGTTGCCAAGAGCTGGGGTAAGGGAAGAATGGAGAGAGATCACTAATGGGCATGAAGTTTATTTTTGGGGTGATGAAAATATATTGGAATTAGATGATGGTGATGCTTGCACAACTCTGGGAATATACTAAAAACTGTTGAATTGTGCACTTTAAATGAGTGAATTGTATGGTTCATGAATTATAATTCTATAATTCTGTTAAAATGTATGCATGCACACACACATACAATAACATACACTGATGCATTAAAAACAAGTTTTTAAATTCCATTAATTCAAATTGGTAATTCTAGGTTCTGACACTAAAAGTTTTAAAGAATTTTAAAACTCTTTTGAAATCAATTTATCTGTGTCATTAACTAGTAAAAACTAATAAAAACATATTTTTTATAATTTATAAATTTATAATTTCATTATAATCATATAATTAATAAAAATAAAATTGACAAATATTGCAGTTAAAGTTAGGTCACATGCTTTAGATATCATAGTTATGCTAATATCTATATAATTATGCACTAGTGTCTTTTCTGTTTTAAAACTTAAAACTGCTAATATTCACTGCTTGCCAAATTATAAAATGCCTCTTTCACTTTTACCTGCTTCTATAGTTTTTCTAACCTATTTGAGTGAATGTATATTTATTGGTTATACAGAATGCCAGGAATTGTCTAGAAAACCAAATTGTCTAGAAAAGCAAAACAACAAAAATATAGCTACCATTTCTCAAGTTTTTTAAGCACAAAAAAAGGCTTTATTTTTATAAGGGCTTTGTTTTGTCTCTTGGACAAATGCCTATCCATTTACACAGACAGTCATTCATATATTGCAGTTCTTATCCTGCATATATGCTTTCTGCAAACATTAACTGATTATTGCTATGATCCATGCATTCCCTTCTACTCTAAGAAACTGGACAATATTGTCTTTCAGACATTAACAATCTAGTGAAACAATTGCTACCAAGTGAATCAGTAGAGATTAACAACATAAATGTCAGTCTTTCTGTGAAAAAGAGATATGTGAGTATATCAAATCATTGTCTATTATCTCCAAAGAACATTTATGTTTTACATATGCCATTCTTTATATGTACAGCTGAGTCACCTTTGAAAGGACTGGTTAATCAGGGTATAGGCAATCTGTTAATGCAAAAAGTTCAGCTACATTTTGCCCTGCCCTGTGGTTTCAGTGGTTCTCTGAAGGCAAATGATCCACATGTCTGAAACTCATAAAAAGGGCAGAGCCATTTTATTTTTATTTTTGTGACTTAAAAGAAGAAATTTACTGTTTCAGTTTTGGCAGCTAGAAGTCTGAGATCAAGGTTTTGGTGGGATTGGTTCCTTCCCGGGCAGTGAGGAAGAAGCTGATCCATGCTTCTCCCGTGGTTGCTGGTGGTTTGCTGGCCATCTCTGGTACAACCAATATTTTAATCATCCAATGAATCATTCCTCCTATTATGACTTCTTGAATCCTATGACCTTTCCTTCACACCTAGCTTAAGATTATAAACTAACCTCCCAAACTTTAATCTTCATAGAGATATAAGTCTTTAGACATCAAAAATCTTTTCTTTGTCTTTAGGTTTCAGAAGTTTAATTATTATGTGTCTTAGCAAGGATTTCCTTAGATTCATCCTGTTTGTCATTTGCCCTGCTTCCTGATTTTGTAGGTTTATGTGTATTGCCAAATTTGAGGAGATTTTAGTCATTATTTCTTTGAATACTTTTTCAGCCCTATAGTCTTTTTCCCCTTCTTTTGCAACTTTGATGACACAAATGTTAGTTTTTTGTTGTAGTTCCACAGATCTAATGCTCTGTAAACTTTTTAATATTTTTCCTCTCTTTTGTTCAGATTAACTTCTATTGTTCTAATTCCCAGTTCAATGATTCTTTCCTCTAAACTTTTTAATCTTTTTCCTCTCTATTGTTCAGATTAACTCCTGTTGTTCTAACTCCCAGTTCAATGACTCTTTCCTCTGTCCCTTCATTCTTCTGTTGAGCCCACTGAGCTTTATATTTCAGTGTTTGTATTTTTCAGTTCTAAAATTTTATTTGGTTCTTCATTACGTCTTTTATTTCTTGTCTGATACTTTGCTGAGGCTTTTTCTTTTTTATTTGTTTTCAAGTGCATTTATAATTGCTCACCGAAGCATTTTAATCTTTTTACCATGGCTGCTTTAAAATCCTTACAGATGTCATCCCATCATTGGCTTCTACTGATTGTTTTTTTCCATTCATTTTGAGATCTTGACGAGTGGCTTCTGATTGAAACCTGAACATTTTTATTTTATGTTATAAGACTCTGGATATTATTTAAACTTTATGTTTTAGCTAGTTTTTTGTTTGTTTGTTTGTTTTTTGGTTTGTGGAGGAACTCAGGTAGAGGAGGAAGGGGCATATGGACTCAGACCTGTTACTGCTGGGTGGAGGTAGAAATTCAGATTCCCCGCTCACTCACCTTCTGTTGACACTCCTTCTCATTATAGCAGGGCAGCGGTGGGAGGTCTAGCTCCTCAGGTGATCTCCAATGACAGTACGACAAGGGTGGCTTCATTACAGCCGGCAATGGTGAAAGCCATGACTGTCCTTCAGGCCTCCTCTGACATCATCTTAACAGGGTGTGAGAGGGGGGCCTTTGTAACTACCAGGCAGTGATGGAAGCCCAGGCTCACCCTGCAGTCTCCACTGATATCACAAGGCTTGGGGAGCTCATTACCAACCGAATGGGATGAAAGTCTCAACCCGCTATTTGGTCTCCTCTGACATCACCCAGTGATCGGGGCACTTCATTATACTGCACAAGGGTATAAATCTAAGCTCCTACTTTGTTGTAATGGGTTCTCTGAGTAGAGATGGGTTGGTTTTTTTCTGATTTCTTTTTTCAATTTTTTGTTTGTTGTTTAGCTGGAGTACACTGGTTATTATCTAACAGTTTTCTGTCTTGCTAGGCTACGACAAGTTCTATGGTCAGAGAGAACTGGCTGTTCCTGGGGCTTTTTTCTTCCATCTGAACCCTTTGGCATTTCTGGGTTGTCAACTTTTTCAGCTCTAAGTCTACCATGTATAAGACCAAAATAAAGCTCAGGGAACTCACCACTGCTTTTTGCTTTAGGTCTCAATATCACCAGACCATCTGCCACTTTCTCTCCACCTGTTAGAGTCTTTTCACATTGGTTTCATATATATTGTCTAGAGTTCTTAACAGTACAGTACTTCAGGAGAGGAACAGAGAAAAGTACACTATACCATATTTCCAGAAGCACAAACCTACATTCTGAAAATACAGTTGGCCCTTCACATCTTTAAGTTTCGTATCTGTTGGCTCCACATCCAAAGATTCAGCTAGCCATCAATCAAAAATATTTGAAAAGAAAAAAAAAGATATAAAATAATACAAATTTTTAAGCAATAAATGTAACAACTATTTACTTATTGTTTACATTGTATTAAATATTATACATTGCATTATAAGTAATCTAAAGATGATTTAAAGTATATAAGAGGTGTGTGTAAGTTATATGTAAATGCTATGCAATTTTTTTTTTTTTTTTTTTTTTTTGAGACGGAGTCTCGCTCTGTCGCCCAGGCCGGACTGCGGACTGCAGTGGCGCAATCTCGGCTCACTGCAAGCTCCGCCTCCCGGGTTCACGCCATTCTCCTGCCTCAGCCTCCCGAGTAGCTGGGACTACAGGCGCCCGCCACCGCGCCCGGCTAATTTTTTGTATTTTTAGTAGAGACGGGGTTTCACCTTGTTAGCCAGGATGGTCTCGATCTCCTGACCTCATGATCCACCCGCCTCGGCCTCCCAAAGTGCTGGGATTACAGGCGTGAGCCACCGCGCCCGGCCGCAATTTTTTTTATAAGCAACTTCAACAACTTCAGATTTTGGTATCTGCAGAGGTCCTGAAATCAATTTCAGAGCCAAGCATAAATCTTTCCGTTAGCCACTACATTACCTGCTTTTAGTTTTGGATTACAGTTTGGGTATTTTTAAAATAATATGAGCTTAAGAAATTTGAAAAATCAATGTCAGTCTTTGAAATTATGTAGGAGTCAACTTTATTTTGGCACAGCCTTTTAAATTTTTTCTCTGAAGACTATAATGAAGCTGGAGGGTAGAGAGAGAAATACACTATACCAAGATAGAATGATAGGAACATGCTCAGCTTCTCTACCCATGAGAAGACTGTATTTGGATTATAGTCCATATATATATCACCACAAATAATGTGACCTGAATGATACATACATGAACTTTCTATGAAGAATTATAGAGACAAAGGGAACTATAATTACAATAACCATAAACAGGGTGAATAAAAAGAAAGTTTGTAATAAGTAGAGAATTGTATTATATCATCAAAATGTGATAGCGAAAAACTAATGTAGATGAAGGTTTTTGTTACTCTGGAAATTTTTAATGTACATTATCACTACCATTCTCCAATTTTAAGCTTTGTGCTTCTGTTCAATGACTGCAAATGGAGTAGTTGAAACAAAACTGGTCAAAATGTTGAGTTGGTTAAAAACAAATTTTCCCCATCACTGGTTTTTATGTAAGTGCAATTTTAAAGTAACATGAGACAGTTGTGCAATAGCTTCTATAATTTTAAACATTTTTCCCATTTTTAGAATTTTAGGAGGTTTCTACTTGCTTCAAATTTCTAAATAATATTGAATATATTTTAGCCATAACTGTTTTTGTTGTTTGATTAGAAGTTTTTAAATGAATTTGATTTTATGTGTCAATTATCCTTAAATAAATTGGTTGACGTTTTCTCAGAAAACAGTGATACCTTTAAACTTTATGTGCTCTGAAGTAATTTTGTCAAATCAGTAAATATTGTCCACTTTCTAAGTTCATTTGATTTTATGAATTTTAAATTCATTTGCAAATACCAAGGCCAACTTTACATATTGAGTCATATTTTAAAGTTATTTTTATGTTTACTTTATATTTAAGCAGTTTTTACATGAAGCAATTGTTGTTATTCCAAGATAGGATAGCATCACTATTTGATATGTTTGTGCTGTTAAGACTTGGACCCACAGTAAAAAGCAAATATAACCTCAGTGCAGATTCCTGGAAAAAAACCACGCTGGCCTTGGATTGCCCAGTAAAGTAGGCATGATGTTTTATCTGCCAGCATCCCTTCCTTGGTAGGGTTGTTCTTGCATGAACACACCATAACCCTTACAATATATGAACGTATAAGATACAAGGGCCAAGTTTAAATCTTTCTATTAGCGATTACATTACCTGCTTTCAGTTTAGGATTATAATTTAGGTTCTAGAACTTGCAATGTAAAATCCTGATAAATACTAATTATAAAATGACAAACAAAAAAAGGACTGCTATGTAGCTTGTTTTGTGCAGGGCATGAAGTGGTGAAAAAACTGTGAAATGATTGAAGAGAACCAATAATCAATTCAATTGAAGCACTAGCTTAAAATGTGACTAATTTGCCCTTCACATAAATTATTAAAATTCTAAAACATTGTCAATAATGAGAGCAGGCTTTACTAGCTAAAGTAAAATTAGGAAAATAGCTTCAAGTGCTTCTGATAAAACAGACAAATAGACTTAAAGATAAACAAAGCTTACGAAAACTACTGTAAAATCATTAGTACATTAAAATAACAACAAAAAGACATAAATATGGATATGGATGAATATAGTTATATAAATATTTCTCAATTTGTCCTTATTATAATGATGTTTTGGCCATATTGTTGTCTTATATCCCCCTCCACCTTTTGTGTTCTAAATTTGCCATTCTCAATATTACTTTTCAAGACAAAGTGGTACATATGGAGATGAATATCATTTTCCATCTAATAAAACTGAATTAACTGTTAGCCTAGGATCAACCAGTGAGACTCAACCAGTTGAACTAGTGACATATTCCCATATAAAGGCAAAAGCAGCCAAGGCAAGAAATGGCTGAATTTTATGTGATCAGAGTCATACCCACTTCAGCTGTTAAATAAACCTCCTTAGCTAAAAGTTTCACCTTCCCCATGGAATATGCAACCAGAAAATATTGCCTAGATTTATATACACAATATCCAATGAGAAATAGAGAATAAAGGAAAAGATATTAGAAAAAACGAGATTTCCATTTGAATCATTGCTTTCACATACCTTTCCATATCTCCCATTACAAAATACTCTTAACTTGATGTTATTTTATTCTTCTAGTTTTCGCATTCAACCAGGGCCAGGTAAATCATTTATGGGGTCCAGGGCAAAATTTTTCAAAATCATTAAGAATTTCAAAATGGCAAGAACAAGAAACATTAAACTAAGCATGGGACCCTCTAAGCATGGGTTCCTGTGCAACTGTACATCACACGCCCATGTAGGTGGTCCTGCGAGGAAATGTAAATTATAAAACATATTGAACAATCTGATAATAAGCATTGAGGCCATGATATATATACATGATTTTTAACCATTTATCCCATCTCCGAGGCTCTATATAGGGGACATACCATAGCTTTTAATATTAATATACAAAATACATTTGTCCCAATGTTATTGTAATAATAGAAAAATTGACAATTTAATATTAAGATTAAATTGTGAGCTTTTAAAAGGTTCTTAGTAAAACATGCTTTCTTAATGACATAAAATGCCGAAGATGAGAAAAAGTAGGGCAGAAAACTAGAAATAAAGCCTTTTCCTTCTCTCACCTTCTCCCCACATTTGCTATTTTTCTCTATATATATTCTTAAAACTGAAAGGTTTTAATTTGATATTTAGTAAAATATCAATAGTGGTTAATTCTGGGATATGGAATTATATATAGTTGTAACTTTCTTCTTTGTGATTTTCTCTGGCTATCCTGTATTTTCTACAATGGATGTGTATTACCTTTACAATTAGGGGAAAAATAATAATAAAGCTTTCACCTAAAACTGACAGTTCCTTAACAAATACATGGAAGCAAAAAACTGTTTGAGCAGTAATACAAGTAGACCTGCTGCAAACATGGCACATGCTCTCTCTAACATAGTCCTTTTGTAACCAAGCAGCTTGACTTCAAAATGCATTTCTAAACCCTCTTTTTTCTTTTTGCTCCCTAGTCACAAGAAAAAACTTTGAAGCCAACTGCAGAAGCTTTGTTCCCTTAAACTTAAAATAGACTCCATGTCCCTCCCTTTCCCATCATACTCCCTTTACATTTATCTAACTTTATGCTAGTAGCTAAGTATGCACTTACTTAGAAGTTCCAGGGGCTAATCTTGAGACAGACAGACCAAGTCTTGAGATCCAGCTGCAAAATTCCAGAGATTACCTCAAAGTGTCTAGTTACAACCCAGCCATTGTTGAGATGACACCAGCCTGTGTTCCAGGTGGACTGAGAACCTACAGCCACCGAAAGGAGACACAGACCTTGTACTCAGCGCAATTCCTGCATGCAACTTAGATCAAGTTCCCCTTTTCACACTCTTGCCATCTCCCCAGAAATTCAAAGTGGTTACTTTGGATGGGAATCTGGCCATTTCGGCATTACTAGTTTTGGTCAATAAAGTCACTTTCTTTCTACCATACCTTGCTCTTGTCATTGGACTCTGCAAGCAGCTAATGGAGGGACTTGCCTTCAGTTACATCTTGGAGAAGCAAAATTTAGTGCAGAAATCTGTGTTCTAGCTCAGTTTACACAATTTTCTTGGTCATCTTGCCCTACTAGCTTGTTCCATTTACATCACTGAATGATTTAGTGCCACTGTTTTTAATGTACAGGTTAACAAATTACGAACATGAAACTATTTTAAGTGGTTTTATATATAGCACATTTCAATGGCTTTGTCCCAGAACAAACATCATCCTATTATCAACACAATCATGATCACATATTGAACAAGAGTATAGATGATATTTAGAAAAAAAAAAGTTTAGAATTTTGAAGCATCTTGAGCCCCTAACAACAAAGCTGAAATAAGGATTTGGGCATAGTTAGTTAATTTGGGAGGTGATGACACAGATCACCAGTAATGAGTGAGCAAGAGTTATAGGTAGTTAAAAAGAAGACAATAGCAGGACCCTTATTGAACTGCTTATTCCTATGGGCAATGAGTGCTCAATAAATCTGAGGTGGTATGTGGAATGCCTCTTGGAATCTTCTCAACAAAAACCAAGAAGCTGAGGTATTAAATTATCCCACTGGTTAAGGATTTGCCTGGAGGCATGGACTTCCCTGCACTTCATGGCTGCCTGTATAGGAGCTGTACAATCTTCTTTGGCTGTGAAAAGAGATGCAGCAGAAGACTGAGATGGTATGCTGTCAGGGTGCTTAGGAACTGTTGGCGCTGGTACGAGAGGTGGGCTGAAGGCATCTGACGTGAGGCTCTAAAAACAGCTACAACTGGAAAATAAAAGGAAGAAATGTGAAAGTGCAAGAATGAATGTCTTGCAATGTGATTAATAAAGAAAACTGAGAAGAAGTATGCCTGATTCTATTTGTTTGCATTTTTGTGGAAAGAAAGAGGAGACAGGGAAAGGAGGCTAACAGAGTAGGGCCACAGTTCTCTTACGTGAGCTGTGCTCTGGCAAAAATGTCACGGAGAAGTTAAAGGTATGAGACATTACCGATAGGGGAGGTAAACTGAAAAACAACTCCCAGATGTATGTGAGAATCCTCTTCTTGCCATCCTATAAAGACAAAATGTACTTTTTTCTGTAATTCTTCTTTTGTCGAACATCCAAATAGTTGTGCATCTCTGGATCCACAGCAAGGCTTATTTTTAGAAAACTATTATTTCAGTGGTTTTTAAACAATAAAACCAAAAGGAATCACTAACTCATAGGTCTATATACCACAATGGAACTAGAAATACCTTGGAGAATCAGGTCATTTCTGTCAAGTTCAGAGTAGGTTATGTGACATATCCCTTCTCACCACAGCTTTCTTGAAACACATATCCCTTCTCACCACAGTTTTCTTGAAAGATATGTTCAGCGACTTGGAGAGACATGACAAATGCATTACAATAAACTCTTTGTGAGTCCCTCCAGAGTGATTTCTCAGCATTTTGTGCATGTCTGTGTTGTAGCACTTAACACAGTCTATAGTAATGCATCTTGTACTTGTCTAAATCCCCAGAAACTGGCAAGTTTCACGGCGGGTAAGACCTTGTCTTATTCACATCTTCATAAGCAGTGCATTATTGACGTCTATACACAGTGCTCAGTGCATTGCCTGATGCAGAGTGGGTGACCAACACTAATTGGCTGAGTTAGAAGGCAAAGTATTTTTTAGATTAGCATTCCATGATTTGTGTCAAATACATTAATCCTAACATGGCTTAATCCATCTGGGATCTGAACTTGGTCCTGCCACTACAAAGAAGAGTATCTTTGGGTAAGTCAACAACTTTTCTTCAATCTCATCCTTTTTTCTCATCTTTACAATTAAAGGGATTAAGAAGATGATTTCTAGGGTGCCTTCAAGCTCTGGCAGTCAATAATCTATGTGTCACAGCTGTTAGCTCATTAGAATGCACTAAAGGTTGCCTGTTCTGTAAACTAGTTCAACCACTGTAGAAGTCAGTGTGGCGATTCCTCAGGGATCTAGAACTAGAAATACCATTTGACCCAGCCATCCCATTACTGGGTATATACCCAAACGACTATCAACCATGCTGCTATAAAGACACATGCACACATATGTTTATTGCGGCACTATTCACAATAGCAAAGACTTGGAACCAAGCCAAATGTCCAACAATGATAGACTGGATTAAGAAAATGTGGCACATATACACAATGGAATACTATGCAGCCATAAAAAATGAAGAGTTCATGTCCTTTGTAGGGACATGGATGAAACTGGAAATCAGCATTCTCAGTAAACTACTGCAAGGACAAAAAACCAAACACCGCATGTTCTCACTCACAGGTGGGAATTGAACAATGAGATCACATGGACACAGGAAGGGGAACATCACACTCTGGGGACTGTTGTGGGGTGGGGGGAGGAGGGAGGGATAGCATTAGGAGATATACCTAATGCTAAATGACGAGTTAATGGGTGCAGCACACCAGCATGGCACATGTATACATATGTAACTAACCTGCACAATGTGCACATGTACCCTAAAACTTAAAGTATAATAATAATAAAATAAAATAAAATAAAAAAAGAATGCACTAAAGGAATTCTGTCTCCAATTCCCTACCTAACTTCCCAAAGTAACTTTGAGGACCCTGTGACGAATGGTGTGTTTATGTGTAAGTGCACAGATATGATAAAAGGGAAATTAGACTTTTAAATCAGGAGGCTAATAAGTACTTTTGTTCTCTTGAAGTTTTAAAAGCGAGTATTTATGTTTGCTTAAAGGATTTTGGGTTGTTTCTTTTATGCTCCATTTCAATTTTCTATCATTGGTTTTAGAGATCTGCAGATGAATGTTAAGTCATCAATAACAAGAAGCAGCACTGTGTTAATACATCCTTTGTTTTTGCAACTCTGGCTTCTAGTTCAACAATAAGCACTAAATCTAAAAATTTTATTCACTTTATCAATGAACCTGAATGGAATGTCAGGCATTCTGCTTATTCCAGAACCTGAGAAACAAGTTGGAGATATCTTAGCGAGCTAAAAAACAAAAGCAATGAAAACATAATATTTCTGCCATTCATGCAGAACTTAAGACCTAGATAATTTTAGGGAATAAATGTGTACTATTACTATTGTTTTACTCATAGGTATTCCAAAGAAATAAGATAGCAATTGAGGAAGAAAATAAAAATAAAAATCAGGAAATCTATGTTCAAAGCAAGGCAATGAATTGAAAACTATAGTTAAAGAAATTGAAATATTTGAGAAAGAAATAGAAAGTTTTAAAAAAACATATTTTCGAATAGTGGTTATTTTAGTCATGTAGGCTTATCCCATTTTGAGGTATTTTTTTTTCAAACGTTATTTCCAAAGAATATTTGAATGACCTTGCCTTAAAGCAAATTCACTAAAGCCAAATCAGAATCTCAGTCTTCCAGGGTACTAACAGAAAGTGATATACATACATGTGGCAACATTTCACAGTGTTGTGACTTAGGCAAAAAAATATAAAAATGAACTCACTGAACACAATGTACATAAACATGCAATAGTTACTAGTGACAGTATTGGGAAAAACGTAATGGTGAATCACCAAGGAGAAAATTCAGAAAAGATTACCACAGCCCTGAGGGTACTTTGCTTAATAAATAGACAACTTAGAGGAATCTCCATGGAATTCATCCAAGTAGAAAAAAAGCCAATCTCAAAAGGTTTCATGCTGCATTATTCCATTTATAAAACATTCTTGAAATGACAAAATTATACAGACAGAACAGATTAGTAGTTTTCAGGGCAGGTAGGGGGAGGTGAGTGAGAAAGATGGCTGTGGTTATAAATGGGCGATAATAGGGAAGGTCCTTGTGGCAATGAAATTGTTCAGTATCTTGACCAGGGTGGTGAATACACAAACTTACGCAAGTGATAAAACTGCACAGAACTAATCTCACTCACACACACACATAGGTACACGTATACATACTACAGGTACATACAAAATGGGAAATCCTAATACAATTGGGTTTTACCAATGTCAATTTCCTGATTGTGATATTATACAATAATTATGCAAGCTGCTACAATTGGAGGAAACTGGCTGAAGCAGGAGTCCCCAGTGCCCAGAGCTGCTGACTGGTACTAGTCTGTGGCCTGTTAGGGACCAGGCCACACAGTAGATGAGTGGCAGAGGAACCAGCATTACCTGCTGAGCTCCACCTCCTGTCAGATTAGCAGCAGCATTAGATTTTCATAGGAACAGGAAATCTGTTGTGAACTGGGCATGTGAAGGGCCTAGGTTGCAAGCTCCTAATGAGATTCTAATGTCTGATAATCTAAAGTGCAACAGTTTCATCCGAAAACCATCCCCCTTCTCCCAACCCCCATGAAAAAACTGTCTTCCATGTAACCAGTCCCTGGTGCCAAAAAGTCGGGGACCCCTTTTTGTGTAAAGTGTAAATGGGATCATTCTGTATTATTTCTTACAAGTGCATGTGAATCTACAATAATCTCTTAATAAAAAAATTAATTACAAAAATCAATAAGGAAAGTACAGACAATTCATTAGGAAAATGAATCAAAGACTTGAGCAGGCATGAAAGAAGAAAAAAAAATGAAAAATAAATCTATGAAAAGTAATCAGACCCCTTGGCAATCAGAGAAATGCAAAATAAAATCGCAATTATATACTATTATGCAGACTGGCTAAAAATAAGAACATCTGATAAAACTGTTACTAACATTGGATCATAAATCAGATATACTGTTAGTGGGAGTATAAACAAATATAATGACTTTGGAAAACCATTTGTGTCACATTCCAAAAGATGAAAGACGTGCATTCTTTAGACCCAGAAATTTCACATCTAGGTATTAGAGAAATGTACATATATGCCAAGGATATGTGCTCATAAGAATGTTCACAGCTACATAGTTTGTTTTGGATAAAAACTGAAAACAATTCATGTGCATGTATAAGGATGGATAAATAAATTGGCATATATCAATACAATAGAATTCTATATGGCAAAAAAAGTATAAGATATATAGACATACACTACAATATGGATGAATCTTAAGGAATATAATATTAAGCTATATATGCAGGAAACAATTGCTATATTCTATATTAAGCTAAATCTTCTATATAAAATTATATGCTATATTTTCTATTCTATATAAAATTGCATTCTATATAAAATTATATACTATATGCTATATATTACAAATATATATTTAGCTTAATATAGAACATAATTTTATATAGAATATAAAAACTCTATATTAAGCTAAATATACAGGAAGCAAAATAATTGCTATTTTTATATATTCTATTTATATAAAATTTGGAAGCAGCTACCTTGTTGAAGAATAGCTACACAGGTCATATGTTTACATGAAAAGACAGAAAAAAAAACATGAGCTCAAAAGTCAATACAGTGTTTATACATGGAGCGGGGAGTTGGAAAGGATGGGAAGCAAAGGTTCTGAGCATGGCTTAGCATGTCCCTTGCATTCTATTTCTTCATCTGAGAGGTGATTACACATGCATTTGCCTTATAATCATTGTCAATCTGCCAATCGGCAAATATATTTGCACAATTAAGTATATTAAAATGTTGCAAGCTTAAAAAAATGAAATTTAAAAATTGCAGGACTTCGTTTTGCTGAATAACTACAGACTGAATTTAGAAGGCAGTAATGCAGGGCTAAATACACAAAATAAAATAAATGGAAAGTTACAGCCTCCAAACATTAAGCATTTTATAATACATTCCTTTCCCATCCTCACCTCCACTCTAAGGAAATATCAAATGCAAATGAAAATAATTAGCTGCCCATAAATACAATTTTTTTTATTCAGTGGTGCATGGAGAATGAATAAGCATAAATAATTTACCCTTTGATTGGTGTGATCTATATTGACAAAGTTTCTCCTCATCTGAACGCTTATTTCTGATCTTGAATTTTCTTCTGTTACCATAGTAAGTACTTAATAATCATTTATAAAATGAATATATTTCTATTTAGTAAAAAATATTACACTTAATATTTTTCATTATAATAACTTTAAATGGAATCATACTTTTATGCATACAAAAAAGATGAATAAAATAGACCAAAAATTTTTTCTTCCTTTTGGCATTCTGGCATATTTTGCAATTTCTCATCTTCTACAATGGATGTATATTGCTTTAATGATTAGAGTTATTTGAAAAATAAAAGGAAAGCAATAATTTAATGATCAATTTAGGTCACTGAAAATATAATCAGGAATAGGCAAGTTTATCATTATTTTGACCAATGTTTATTACTGGAGTCTTAGGAAATGTGGTCTAACTAGCTTCAGATGGGTTTTGTTTAGCAACTGTGGTCGTTGCCTCATTAAATGAGAGAGATCAGTGGAAACAGAAATTCCTTAAATTACTCAATTGCATTTTTAGCCTTTGAAATTCAATTTGGGAGCCAAGACTGATTACTATATTTGAGTGTTTGTAATTTCTTCCTCCCACTTCCTGCCTTAATCCACTATTTAAATTCTGCATATAATTCTTCATGTTATAATTATTTGTGCATTGAATTTGTATGACTTTGTAGACTAAGGGTCCAGGATTTATCTGAAAGTTCCCATTACCTCAATTAAAAAATACATATATATGGGAGCAGTAAGGCCAATGTCTCCTGAATTCTCTTATAACCGAGATGTGCCCGGGCCAGCCTCAGATTTCACCCTACACAAGACTCATTTCTAAGAAGCAGATCGCTTCCCAAATCATTAGTGAGCTACATAAGCTTTACTAGAGATTACATAGAAGACACAGATGTGGACGAATGTGTGACAAAACAGCATTTTTGCCTCATTGTAAGTAACCTTCATCAAACATCTTTTACTAAGACTGTTTTCTTTCCCACTGACTTCCAAATCTTGTTCTTCTCTTCAACCTTCTATCTTTCCCAGCCTTCCTCCACCCTCCCTGACTGTTATCCCCTCTCCATTACTCCCTTTCTTTTCTTTCTTTATTTAGAGACAGAGTTCTACTCTTCTCACCCAGGCTAGAAGGAATGCAATGGCATGGTCTTGGCTCACTGTAACCTCCACCTCCTGGGTTCAAATAATTCTTCTGCTTCAGCCTCCCGAGTAGCTGGGATTACAGGCGCCTACCACCATGCCCAGCTAATTTTTGTATTTTTAGTAGAGACGGGGTTTCGCCATGTTGGCCAGGCTGGTCTCGAACTCCTGACCTCAGGTGATTCACCAGCCTCGGTCTCCCAAAATGCTGGGATCACAGGCGTGAGCCACCACACCCGGCCCCATTACTCCCTTTCTTAACCAGAGAAACGTATCTGTGTCTGAACCTCCAAATTTGCTTCACCACAATCACATTTAACATTGTTTTAACTATGCAAAAAGCCATTAAGCTGAGGATTGGGGATGATGCTGTGTGTGTGTGTGTGTGTGTGTGTGTGTGTGTGTGTGTGTCCCCAAGTGAGGAAATACAAAGTAGTTAAGAGATCTATCCTCCTTCTCAGGAAGGGAAAGAGAAGTGGGGTAAAGGAGATAGAACTAATTTTTTTTCTGAAAACCTCTTGTCACACTAAGCTGAACTTTGTTTTCATTTCTGTAATATTTATGAAATAGAAATGTACCTTCCAATCAAAATGTATATGTATGGCGGTGCTGCCTTATTTTTCTGCAAAACTTTTATCCAAACTGGTAGTCATCTCACATAGGTAGTGTTTTAAAATTGAAGAATATGTTATGCATTTTTTAAGAATTTTCTTTATTACTTTTTGAATTATAATTTTTCAAAAGCAATACTTCCCTATTGGACTCACTAATGTAAATGCAAAGATAATGACATACAAAGATGTATAAATAAAAAGTTAATCATCTTTCCCTGCCCTCGTCCCCATCCCCTGAGGTTAGCAACATTAACAATCTGCTCATATCTTTTCACAAATCAGGCAGAGCTCAGACATAATAGTCATACCTGTGTAGGTTTTTTGGTTGCGTAGGTTTTACAAAGATAAAACCATATAATTCTACTTGGTTTTCTTATTTAAAATGCATCATGGGATCACTTGTAGTTAATAAATCTGTAACTTATTTTTATATACCTATATGGTAATTTATAGTATATATGTATCACAATTTATTCAACCATTTCCTCACTCAAATGGTTTCTAGTTTTTTCTTTTTTCACCTTCCAGCAATTTTTCCGTACATATTATTGTACATATTAATATATTCTCATGTATTGGTGCTTTTATTTCTAGAAGCTAGAGTCCCAAAAGTGATATTGCTGAATTGAATGATATGTACATTCTAATTTTATCAAATATTTCCAGATGAATTTCCCCAGAAGTTTTAGGAATTCACACTGTCACCAGCAGTGTTATAAAATGATCCATTTTCCTGTGTTCTCATTGATGTTGCTATAATTGCTCTTTTTAATTTTTACTGGTCTAATGGATAAAAATGGCCTCATTTACTTTAATATTCATTTTCCTCACGACTAGTAAGATGGGCATTTTTTCCCCATATTTATGGACCATTTGGGCATTGTCTTCTCTTCCTAGCCTTTGGACACTCTGGCTATTTTTTTTTAATAAGGTTGTTTTTTTCATGTAAAACAATGTAAAAGACCTTATTACTAATTAGAGATATTTATCCTTTGCCAACTTATATATGTTGCAACAAGCATTCCTTTTTTTTTTTTTTTTTTTTGAGACAGAGTCTCACTCTGTCGCCCTGGCTGGAGTGCAGTGGCATGTTCTCAGCTCACTGCAACCTCTGTCTCCCACGTTGAAGCTATTCTTCTGCCTCACCCTCTCTAGTAGCTGGGTCTACAGGCATGTGCTACAATGGCCGGCTCATTTTTGTATATTTAGTAGAGATGGGGTTTCACCATGTTGGCCAGGCTGGTCTCGAACTCCTGACCTCAAGTGATCCACCCACCTCAGCCTCCCAAAGTGCTGGAATTACAGTCATGAGCCGCTGCACACGGCCGCAAGCATTCTTTTGCAGCTTATTATTTCCTGTCAACCTCATACTGTAATATATTTTTTAAACTTTTATGTAGTCAAATATGCCTGTCTTTTATTCTGTTATTTTGAAAGCTGCTCCCTTCCTGAGGTTACAGAGTCCCCTAGATTTTCTCCTAATGTTTTGTTTTTATTCAGTTTTCAGCTTTGTCAAGGTATAATTTACATACAATATAGTTCACTCATTTTAAGCATACAGTTTGATGAATTTTGTATGGTGCATGGTCACATAACCTCAACAAAACTCAAGATATTGAACAAATCCATCATCCTCAAATGTTTTCTTCTACCACTTCACAATCGATGACCTCTCTTGACCCTTGATCCCAGGCAACTACTGATCTGCTGTCTGTCACTATAGCTTTGCCTTTCCTAGAATTTTATATTAATGGATTCATAGAAAGTGTGGTCTTTTGTGTTTGTTTTCTTTAATTTACATATTTGAGAAGCATCTGTAGTTTCAAATATATTAATATTTAATTTATTTTTATTGTCAAATAGTATTCCATAGTGTGGAAAACCTACAACTGGATTATTCATCTATCAGTTAATGAATATTACAGTTGCTTCTAGTTTTTGGTTATTATGTGTAATATTATGAACATCTGAATAAAAGTCTTTGTATGAACTTATAGTTTTTATTTCTCTTGAGTAAATATCTAGAAGTGAGATTTCTAGGTTTTGTGGTAAGCGTATGTTTAACTTTATAAAACACTGTCATACTGTCTTTCAATGGTTGTAACATTTTGCATTTCTAACAAATTATAGAATTTCCAGTTACTCCACATTCTCTCCAGGACTTGATATTATTATACTTTTTAATTTTAGCCACTTAAATGGTGTACAGTGTTTTGTCATTGTGGTTTTGATTTGAATTTAATGAAGACAAGTGATCTTAAGCATCTCTTCACGTGCTTAGATTTGCCATTCATAGGTGAAATATTTAATTATTTCCCTTTTTAAAAATTTGGTTGTTTTTCTTATTAAGTTGCACATACTCTAGATCTGGGTCCCCTAACCCCAGGCCATGGATTGGTACCAGTCCGTGGCCCTTTAGAAACCAGGTCACACAGCAGGAGGTGAGCGGCAGTGGGCTAGCGAGCATTAATGTCTGAGCTTCATCTCCTGTCAGATCAGTAGCAGCATTAGAGTCTTATAGGATCATGAACCCTATTGCGAACCACGCATGCAAGGGATCTAGATTGCATACTCCTCACAAGACTCTAATGCCTGATGATCTGTCACTGTCTCCCACCACCCTCAGATGGGACCTTCGAGTTGCAGGAAAACAAGCTCAGGGCTCCCACTGATTCTACATTATGGTGAATTATATAATTATTTCATTATATACTACAATGTAATATTAGGTTGGTCCAAAAGTAATTTCAGTTTTTGCCATTACTTTTAATGATCAAGTGCACAGTAACTGCAATTCACTTGAATCATCCCAAAACCATCTTCCCAACCCTCAGTCCATGGAAAAACTGTCTTCCATGAAACCAGTCCTTGGTGCCTGGTGCCAAAAAGGTCAGAGACCACTGCTCTATATATTCTGGATTCAAGTCCTCTGTTGGAAATATGCTTTGCAAATAATTTTTTTTTTGCAATTTGCAGCTAGTCTTTTCATTTTCTTAACTGTGTCTTTCAACTGGCAAAGGCTTTTAATTTTGATGAAGGCATTTTATCAATTTTCCATTTTTGCCTTTTAGGTCATGTATAAGAAACCTTTGTCTATTTCCAATGTCAAAAAGATTTTATGTTTTCTTCTAAATATTTAATAGTTTTAGATATTATGTTTAGGTCTTTGATCCATTTTGAGTTAATTATTTTATACGATATGAGATAACGATTAAGATTCTTTTTCCATAAAGATATCTAGTTGTCCCAAAACTAATTGTTAAGTTGTTAATTCATCTGGAGTTGACTTGTATGTGACACGAGGCAGGACTCTAGCTAATTTATTTATGATTAATCAATTATATAGATATTTCATATTATCTAAGTCATCCTCTTTCTACATTATTGAAATCATATATTTGTTATTTCTTAATTTCCTATTCATATTTGTAATGATTTTGAGACTTTAGTCTCTTCCATAGATTTAATTTTCTGATAATAGTCCAAAAGAAAATCTTGGTTTCCACCTCCTTAGCTTGTTTTTTTTTTCTATTTTCCCTTAGTTCATTAAATTTTACTGCCATCTACCCAGCTGGTCAAGCCAATAACCTAGGTACCAGCATTTTTTTCTCTTTTCTTCACCAACTATAACCCATAAATATTCTTCCTATGTATTATAAGTGTGTCCACTTTACTCCATCGTCGTTGCTAACAGACTCATCCATCCTCCCACACTCATCTTGTACTTCACTCCTCCATGCTCACTGACTCTATCCACAAGGCAGTCTTTCTGCTCTTTGACCATCCAAGTCTGGTCCTGCCTCATGCCATTGGCCCTTGACATTCCCCGAGATAATCTCCCTTCAAATGCTATGCCTATCTCTTTTGAATCTTTCAGGTCTCTGGTTAAATGATGACTCAGATCTTTGAAATATATGTAAATCCCCCCTTACCATAATACTCCTATTGTTAATTTGAGTTTGAAGTAACTATGAAATAGCTCACCCAGGGGTTAAAGATGCATGATTCATAAGCTGCACATCTGTAGCACCGACCTTGATCATGCACTGATTACTGCCCAAGACTCATGAAAATGTGGCTCCAGTGCCTTCTGAAATGTCACAGCTCCAAGTATACAAATAGGGCCTCTCTCATCAGTAAGAGAGCCCTGGACCCACCCTCAGATGAGAAGCAAAGGGTTCTCTGACTACATGGCATATTACTGAATGACAATCTACCCCGGAAGGACAGTCACTGGAGTCCTGAAAAGTATAGCTGAAGAAGTGGTTGCTAATGACAAATGAGACCTCCACACTTCAGAAGGGGTCCCTTCTAGAAGCCCTAGGCATTATCCAAAGAGAAGAATCACTCTGGCCTGGCTTGCCCACTTTACCGACTTCACGTGTGTGTGCGTGAGTATGTGTGTGTGTGTGTGTGTGAACGCATGTGTGTCTGTGTGTGCATGTGTGTGTGTGGCTTCACTCAATCTGGCTCTACTTCTCCAGGTACTGTGTTGTATCAGGTATTTTCAGTGCTGCAAGGCAGCTGCCGCTCTGCTCTTGGTGCTGTGACAACTCGTAGCAATTTGCTGTTGTTCTGTGTGAGAGTGAACCCTGGGGTGCACCTTCCTCTCTAAACCTCTCCCTCAAGCTCCAAATGCCATTTGACTCATTTTCCGTCACAATCATCAGAGGACCTTTAGCAATTCTAAGGGAGTTATTGCTTGCTTTCACATCTTTTCTCAAATATCTGATTGCAATTCAGCTCTCCAGAGAAAATCCAAGCTGCCTCATTAATTCTTATGAAGAGAAAGGATATATTTTATCCTAGATTCATTGTTTTAAAGCTGAAGGAGACATTGAATACAAGCTGATTATATCCATACGTATTACAAAGGAAAAAAAATTGTCTCATATGCCTAGAATAGAGTCTGGCATGCATGGTAGTCACTTGAAAAGTTCGTTCAGTGAATAAATGAAGTTAATGACGTTTCTAAGACTATGCAAGTCTGTAGCAGAACAAAAATTAGAATGTAGATTTTCCAATTCCAGATTACAATCCATTTATGAAAACAAAAGTATCATATTTGTATACTGAAATAATCCAAAGAAAATACTTGTATATGTAAATATTGGCCATACATTTTCTAGTCTTACAACATTTCTTAAAGCTAAAAGTAGTCTTTGAAACAGTAATCTATGTCTCAGCTTATTAACAATATATAGAATTTGCCTAATTTAATTTTTGTAATTTTTTTCCATTTATTTATTGTTAAATTTGTATTTCCTACCTTTCAAATTCCATTAATTTTAATTAGCTAAAACCAGGATAAAATCTTGAAGTTTGACACATTTTTTAAAAAGTGGCAATGGGGAAAATAAAATGTGCATTGCACTGATGTTTAAGTCAGTCATTTCTTATAAGAACATACATCTAATAACGTGATTCAAGACATGGAAGGAAGTACTGTTATCTCAGGTTTGAGCTGCTTTTCTTAGTCTGTGTGATTGGAAGACAATTTTCTTAAGAGAATCAGAGGGAAATGAGAAGAGGAGAAGCACAGGGAAGTTAGAGTCAGAGTCTTGGAAAATTTAAAAATTGAATAAGAAGTATAATAGCACCCATCCTCAAAATCAATTCAAACTTCAAACTGAGAAATGCTGTATTTTACAGAGGAGTTTTGAATTCAATTTGGATGCAGCCTAATCATTTGTAATAGGAAAATCCCCAGTGACAGTCTTCTGAAATAGTGTATTTGTGAAACTGGCTCTGTATGACAATGTAAAAGGTCATCTCAGTTGTTCCCAAACTTGGCTAGCTTTAAACCCACTTGCAGCACCTTAAATTTATATATCTGCATATTCCTGAGTCCCACAGAAAACCTACCAAACTAGAATTTCTGTCTGTGAAACCCATGGATCTGTTTTAATAAGTTTTTCTGTGTTCTTCTGAAGCCAGTCTGGTACCTCACTACCTGGGCTCTAGGAGCACAGGCTGTACTGACCTATCTTTGGAGAAATAGCAGTATCTTAATTTTGTGCTGTCTTTGCAGACCATCGAATGTTCTTATAGAAATATAAATTGCCCATAGATGTTCCGGAATAGAGACCTGCAATGCTGCAGAAAAATGTCAGGCCTTGCCTCTAACTCTCCTTGAGAAAACCATAAAAAAGTATGATCTGTTTTAGTCTAAGTAACTCAACATTTGGAAAACATGGTAACAGTTACACTACTGTTTTCTTTGGGGATAATTCTGTTGACGGGCCACAAGTTAGGACCACTCCCCATCAGCCCGGAAGGAATTTTTTTCAGGTAATAAATATTTTCAACATCAATTATTTAGGCCGCTGGTAAGATGGGAACTCTTCACTCCAGGTCTGGTGGTTAACAGACTCTAAGGAGTAGAGCTCTTCATCCAAGGAAGTAGTTGGGTTCTGAAAGAAAAGAAAGTAGGCCTCTGTAACTGATACTCAGGTTAGAAATTAGAGATGAACTGCTGTGCTCTAAAACAACTGTGCTAGTGTTTACTTAGAAGGAAATTAGAT
Organism: Homo sapiens; assembly: GCF_000001405.40. Classification (NCBI taxonomy): domain Eukaryota; kingdom Metazoa; phylum Chordata; class Mammalia; order Primates; family Hominidae; genus Homo; species Homo sapiens. The sequence goes on along the minus strand of NC_000009.12, from coordinate 101,905,068 downwards.
GACCCTTCCTAGAATAGGCCATATCTCTAGATCCAAAAATACATCCTCTCTATGGTGTTTTAGGGAGTGACCTTTTTATCTTGATCCCAACTTTTAAGAGTGTGGTTTGACTAGACCATGTACTGTCCCTACGCTGATTTAAGGATGAAAATCTACAAGGTATCTTGATCCCTGATTTGAACTGTTATTATCCAATGCCCAGTGCTAGAACTGGGTGTCATGTATCCATATCCATATCCTGGCTCTAGATAGAAGACAAATTGAAATAACAGAATTGTATACATTATATACAATGGCAAGTCCACGATATGAATAAATTTCTAATATAATAAAAAGTGATAGGACCTTGTGAAACGAGCAACCTTGTACTGTCAATTACATTTCCGTGGCAATGCTTTCAAAATTCCAATAAATTCTAAAGGATATTTATCTTTCATATTTGTCCAGCCAGAAGGTTTATTTTCATCTTGAAAGGATTACTGACTTGATTACAAAAATATTATGCTTTTATTATCCAGGATCAAAGGCTTTTGTACATGACACAAATGCCTGATGAGTAAAATTACTCCTGAATTTTAAAAGATTTCCATTTTAAGAGTGTCCTTTGTATTCATTAGTTTCATTAACCTAGTACCAAAATACATTACTACTAAAACACATACACTTAAAATTACAATGAAAACAAACTTCATATTGTCTTCTGTAAATATCACATTCCAAGATTAAATACATATAAATCACTTGACTATACAATCAAATTGTTTTTTAGATACAGAGTCTTTAAATAGCACATAACCTTCGGTTTGTTTCCAGAGAAAAAAGAAAAAGGATTCAAAAGGATTCAAAACTATCTTCAATAGTTTCTTGGTCATCAGAAGTAACTTAATATAAAACTAAATATTGGCTTATTCAGACTGTGGTATGGATGCCCTAACTTTGATCCGACTCAGGGATTGGCAGCAAAGGTTTGGAATTCATCTGGTTAACTAATGTGGTCAATTAATTACCCAGCAAAGGTATGATTCTACCCATTGATAGAGATACTATTCAGAAATGGCCTAGGAAGGCCAGCTTCAAAGAAGAGAACTGAGATTTGCTAAATACAAAGACAATAATTTAAATAACCATCCAAGATGGGAATTCAGGCATAGTCTAGAGAAACACAGTACAAATAGGACTTTCATAATTTGCAGAAAGGTATTTAGAATCACTGGGTTGGCCTTTGTTATTCCATTTCTTAGTTAAATTTATGGAAAGATTACATTGTGTGATCTTTTAGCTTATTTCTCATTTCCTTCTTACCACTGAGAGTAGATAAGTTAGATCTAAGTGATTTTAAGTAAGCGCTAAACATTATTTCAAAATATAAAATATATTGTAATAAATTTTTGTGATGGATCATATTTTCAGAAACATCTTGCATATATATAATCTCATTTAATTCTCTCAATAATTCTGTGAGTTTTATATGGTCATTATTTACAGTTTATAGCTGAAACAACTGGAGATTTTTATCTAGTTAAGAAACCTGACTAATATATCACTTATACATGCCAAAAGCTATTATTTCAATCTAAATATTCTAAGCACAAATTTTCTGGTATTTTTACTATACTACAAACTAAGGAATCCAGTTTTTAAAAAATTAGCTAAATCTAAATGAGAAAAAAACACTGTTCTAGTAGCACAAGCTCCAAGTAAAGGTTACTATTCTCTTTTTAATCCAGGACTCCTCTGGATTCCCAGAAACTGGCACACTAGAACCCTCTTATTCCACCCAGACAGGTTAATTTAACAATCACTTAAAATAATTTTTTAAAGCTATACACGTATTTTAACTCAAACTACATATATACTCATTTGTTCCTTCATATTTTTTAAATGTAAAATCAAAGTTTGCTTTGTTTTATAATTTGTTTCTTTGGTCCAATGGTGACATTCCATTGCCATTTTTTGCTAAATTACATCAATAATTCATCATCTACAATTCTACATGATTTAAAGAGAGTGAAATATTTTCAAAGCAAGCTAAGCAAACATTTTCTAGGTTTGTATGTATTTTCCCATGTTTTATAAATGTGTTGTAGATGCTTAATTTTTTAGAGAGTTGACTTTATTGAATCTTTCCAAGCCTTTTAATGTGATTTTAATCAAATCGATAATTTTTATTTTGCATTCATTTATCATCGGTTTATATAATATTATATCATAAAATTACAATAGTAATAGTATTAATGGGAATTAGCCTACCATGCTGGGGCATCCATCAGTGCATTTTACAGACGAATGAATAGGTTGTGTTAATCCAGCAATTTGGTTAAGTGGAGGTCAGTTTGGTTAAGAGACCAGGATATATTTCTGCTTTTCCCATATTACAGTGCATTTGATGAAGTGGGTTCCTTAGCCTTGAGAGGGACGTCTACTTTAAGAAGTTAAGAGGATTTCTAAGGAGCTGATAAGGAAAAGAAGCATCTTATTCAAGTCGCCTGCTATCAACCAGGCTGCTCCTTTGTTTTGACCTTTTCATTTCCCCATAAAACTCCAATAATATGTAAAGCATCATGAAAAAAACTGAGAGATAAAATATTAAATATTAAAATGCTCACATAATAAATGTTTCATTGAAGGTCGAGGAAAGCTAGACTTAACTGAAAGTGGTGAAAAACTTCAAGATAAATGGAGTCAGAGAGCATAGGCAATTTGACCTGTTTTGCATCAGGGTGCTTAAAAAAATCCTTCAGAAAGTAAAATTTAAAAAGGGTGAGTCCTGGGCAGACCTCAAGCATAGACTCAAGTTTACCACAAAGGAACCAGGCCAGAGGCTGATATACTTTTATGTGCCATAAAAAATTTGAATGCCTATTAAATGTGTTTGGGACACAGTGATAAGGAAAATAGACATGATCTGTACTCTCAATGATTTATAATTTCGTTGAGGGAGAAGGCAAATTTAGATCAGCAGCTGAAAATGTATGGTAAAGGACCTGATCTTAGGGCAAATGCCAAACTGCCCCCAACGCCCAAACTTGAATGTCTAGCATGAATAATTGATATGCAGAGTAGTTTGAAGGAATTATTTAAAATCGTATATAGAGATCATCTTGAGGGAAGTTTAAAAGCCAAAATCACAGTAGTTTAATTCTAGATGCCTAACTAGTTCTCTAACACTAGCGAGTCTTCTCGTGGAATCTCCAGAGCTTTAAAAGTCCTCAAATATACTAATCAAATGTCCTTGAGCTGTGTTTTATATGACAAAAAGCCTTATGAAACTATGTGCTTATTCTCAGTAATACAGAAAATAAATAAAATCTTTCCTTCAATTAAAATTTCCTCAACTAGAAGTGAGGCTTAACCAAAAACTCTGATTGGCATCGGTTCTTTTTATTTACAACAAATAGAAAAATAAGATCATTATTACTTAATAAATGCAATTTCTAGTTAGAGAATGCCTTATAAAACATGAACTTTAAATGATAAATAATAAAAATGATTGGGAAACTCTACAGTATCTTTACTTCATTTTTCCTCAAAATGGCAGGATCTATCTGTAAAACCATTTTTTGAAAAATGTATCTCAATAACAAACTTCTAAAGAACACCCATTAAATGTTAATTTTACTTTTAACAACTGAAAATACTTGATATTTGAGTCTGTTGTATACAGCAAAACACCCCAGGAATAAGCACTCCTCAAACATTAGTGATGACCCCCTCCCTAAAGATGACAAAAAAGAACAAAAAAAAGGAGATTGAGAGAGAAGTTATGTAACTTTCTATTCTCTGTCTAAAATGGTCTTCCTTTTGTTCCTACTACGCATTGTTTCTTCTCATCTTTCATGTACTAGTTTAACTTCCATGTCTTCTCAGAGGCCTTCCTTGGCCAACCTATCTAAAATTACCTACCCTACCTTGCTCACTCTCTTACATTCTCTCATGTAAACTTATTTATTTACTTTACCGTTCTTATCACAGCCTGCAATTGTTTGGATTATTCATTTGCTTATTTGTAAATTATCCGATTATCTCATCAGAATGCAAACTCTGTAAGGAGGACATTATGTATCATATCCCCCTGTTTCTAATACCTAGTGGGCAATCAACAAATATTTACTGAATGAACAAGTAAGCATGAATTCAAATCTATATTTGGAAGTCTGCCGGTACTTAGCTAAGCACTTTCAATTTATATGTAATCCTTACAAGAGCCCTGCTAAGTAGGTAAGTACCTTGATTTTCCAAAAAGGAAAAATGAGGCTTTGAGAGATTGAGACTGACTTTACCAATACGAGTTAGTGATGGACCCAGTGATTCAAAGGCCTTTCTGTCTGCCATTAAAGTCTGTTTAAATATAGTCTGTTAACTGAGACCATCAAGGTGCAATTACCTCCTCTGTACTGTACATATCTGTATGACAAGAAAACAACCTCCCTTGATGATTTGGTCTTCATTTGTTACAGAGTTTTTCATACTTAATTATACTGGGTCTTGTTACCTGGATGCCTCCTCCTAGTTCTGAAGCCCCTCAAGGGCAATGAATTATTCTTTCTAGCCAAGAACTTCCACAATGTTTAAGTACATGTATGTTAAAAAAAAAAAGAAAAAAAAAAAAAAGAAGAAGAAGAACAAAAAGAAAAAAGAATGGTTTGAGGATCAAGGTCATATTTGCTTTTCAAAGTAAAATAAAAAACCAGGCTGTATCTAACAGGGAGAATTCTGGGATAGACGGGGGTTTTATAGCATGAAACGTGTATAGATTTCTAGATTATCTTATAGTATTAGTGATCTGCACATCATACACTTCACTGATAGATTTGAGTACAGTAATGACACATGATTTGCCCAAGGTCACACAGCCCTTTTGCATTTAGCAATGAACTTACAATTTATTGACTAATAATCATACAATAATTAAGGATCTCACATCAAAACTAAGGACTTTATTTTGAATTGCCATCACTAAAACTCTTATATGCAACATTTAAATATTATGTTAGGGGAATGGAGGAAGATGGATTTGTGAGCACAAAATTCTCTCAGATCCCCATTGAAAGGACTAGCAATGGAAATAGAAAAAGACCTAGTTAACCACCGAAATTAAGGAATATTGTCATCTAAGTGACACCCCCTTTGAATGAATTCTGCCTGGTATTATGCATATAAAGCCAATGTCATGCTCCAGAGAGAGATCAAATGTTTGTGGACGCTATTTTGTTTCTGTGGGTCAATAAAATGTTAAAGTAAGGGTGATAGAAGGACATAGGGTTTATATAGCAGCTATCCAAAACAGATAAACAGTAGTCTTGCCTCAAAAGTGATAGTAACACAAAATAGGAGATTGGACAGCAGGTTAAACTTGGGCTGCAGCCTGACCAGGAAAAAGCTGAAAATAAAATATAGGCCTGGTACAGCAGCTTGAAGTAATAGCACAGAACAAAGCATGTCCTGGTATGCTGCCCCAGGCCCAAATCCTTCTCCTGTTTACTAAGGTTTCAAATATTGAACTGATACTATGTAATACATTTATACCAATCAGCTCTTCAAATTATAATTAACTTGAAGAGATAATTCCCATCTCAAATAATTGCTCAGTGAGGAAAATTTAGGTGACTCTATACAGTTTGTTTAGGATCTGACACTAGGCCTAGATAGAGGGCAAATTATGTTCATTACTGCATTTTTATATCAAAAAAGTAGAATCAGCCTAATGTCCACCAACAGATTTTTTTCTTTTTTAAGACGGAGTCTCACTCTGTCACCCAGGCTGGAGTGCAGTAGTGTGATCTCGGCTCACTGTAACCTCTGTCTGGGTTCAAGCTATTCTCCTGCCTCAGCCTCCCAAGTAGCTGGGACTACAGGTGTATGCCGCCATGCCCAGCTAATTTTTTTTTCTTATATTTTAGTAGAAACGGGGTTTCACCACATTGCCCAGGCCAATTGTGAACTCCTGAACTCAGGCAATTCGCCCGCCTCAGCCTCCCAAAGTGCTAGGATTACAGGCGTGAGCCACCGCGCAGGCCTAACAGAATATTTTTAAAATAAATTATGGTTCATCTATACAATGCAATTCAATGCAGTAATTAAAAATATTTAAAAAGAATAATTAGCAAAAGGAAGAAATGGTGATGCTAGATGTGTGTGTGTATATACGTATACACACATATTTTTCAATACTTTATTTTTTATAGCACTTTTAGGTTTCACAACAAAATTGCCAGGAAGTTACAGAGACTTCTCATATATCTCTCGCCCTGACACATGCATAGCTTCTCCCATTATCAACATCTCCTGGTATGTTACAGTTGATGAGCCTTCATTAACTATATTTTGACAGATGTTATATTTTTAATTTTAAAAATCTGACTGAAAGTATTGTTTGCACAATGATCATAGCTTTACTTAAAATACATGTGCAAATACATGTGTATATACTTAAAGCTAAAGCTAGAATTATTAGCAGTAAAAGGTCACCATTGGTCACATCATCCCTCTGCTTAAAACATTTCACTATGGCCCTGTTACACTTTGGAAAAGGTTAACATTCTCAGTCAGGCCCTCAAGGCCCTCCTTGACAAGTCCTCTGCTTACATCAGCAGCCTGTATCACTCTCCCTTCAAACACTAGAAACTTTCTTCAGTGCCTCAAATGCTCCATAATCCTTGATGCTCAGGTGGCCTGGAATGGCTTTCCAACCTTATCTTCTTTTGCCATGCACCCCCTGCCCTCTTGCCACACACACATATTCACACATGTCACCCTTCACCTTGTGAATGGCTACTCATACCCAGAGTTCAGGTGAAATCTTCACATATTCAAAGAGATACTCCTGGACAACTATAGCAGGTTTCTCTGATATATATTATCATAGCTCTCCATCCTTCTCATTCACATCTTTTTACATTTAGGGGAACATAGTGAGGCTACCATCACTATTTAAAAATAATAATAAAAAAATTAAAATGATAAAAATTAAATAAAACATAATTTCAGTAATGAATACATGAGGAATCATAATGCTATTATACTTTTAGTATGTTTCCATTGCATTAATAAAATTTTTTTAAAAGCCCTAATAATAAAAACTCATTACAACACACACACAAAACTCATTTGTTGAAGGTATGACTGTCAATGGTCTGTACATATCATACGAGAGATTTTATCTTGTTTCTTTATATATAGCATAGCTTTTCATACATTGTAAGTACTCAAAATATATTTAAATGAATAATATAGCTAGTATCTGTTAGGTGCTTACGTGTTTTAAATGACCCACATGTATTAACTCATTCAACCTTCACAATAACCCAAAAGGTGGGTCCTCTGCTGACCCCCATTTTAAGAATAAGGCTATGGCACTGGCAAATTGAACAACTTAAAGTTACATTGCTAATATATAGCAGGGCAGGGATTCACACTTGGGCAGTTTAGTTCAACAGTCTGTGTTCTAAATACTAATAATAATAACTAACACTTATACTGCAAGTACAATAAGCCAGGTATTACTCTAAATGCTTTACATGTATTGACCCATTGAAGCCTCATAGCAAATCTTATAAACAAAACCTAAGAGATAGGCACTATTACTATCTGTATTTTATAGATGAGAAAATGGGGACATAGAGAAATTAAAGTAATTTGTCATGTGGTTAGTAAGTGACAGAATGAGACTCTGAACCCTGGCATTCTTTCGGCTGTTAATTGCACTCTGTGCTCCTTTTATGTGGTAGCAAAGATAGGAAGAAAAAAGGAGAGCTATCTAGTGGTGTAGGGATTATGAGTGATTTATTTTTCCTTTATTGTCCAAAAATTGTGTAGGAAATGCATTTTATGATAAGACAAAAAGATATAATTTAAAATAATAACTTCTGGTGTAAAACATACATAAAATTATAAATATATGACTTAGAAATTTACCTAAGCACTTCCCTAGTTCAACTTGCTCTCCACCACAATATACCTGACAAATTTCTAGATTTCCCACCTCCTCTAGGTCAGCCTCCATTGATAGCTGCTTATTAAAATGCACCTCAAGAAACTGTAGTCTACCCATGAACTGAGGGATATCAGCTCCTCCGCATTCCAGTAGGAAATGACTTTGGCCAGAATCAGTTGATTTGTTTTTTAAATAATTTCACACTACACAAATGCTGTGAGACACTGGAAAAATTAAACATTCTTAAAGCAAACTGTTTTTTAAATTACACTTTAGCCTCATATATAGTACTTTCTAAACCCCTGAATTAGCAAGAGGAGTAAAACAATTTAATCACAATCATTAAGATTATTGAAGTGTTTGTATGTGATTTCTTCTGACAAGGAAAAAATCATTTTTGTGCATTTTACTTTAAAAACTAGACTTGTGATGGTCCCTTAATTATCCCCATCACTATAGAAAGGGTGATTCCTTCCTCACTGCCTCCAAAGGACCCCGTATGCATCCATCACAGCAACTTTAACAATGTCTGCACCTCCTTTTTCAGATGCCTGTTCCTCTTTCTTATTCATATTTTTACTTTGTTTCCTTGGCATCTAATTCATTTTAAGAACATTAGGTTAAAAAATAAATAAATAAATAACCTACAAGAATTCAAGAAACACAGATCCTCTAAAATATAATTTTATAATAGCTCAAGTCCCTTACGTGACTTTTTTATCCATTAAAATAGATACATGTGAATAATTTCTTTTTTAAAAATAGTTTACTCTCCTAGCTCTTCCTTTACTCATCTCAGATACTTTCATCTTTCTAATACTTCCAACCTGTCCGAGAAAAAAGTCTCTCTCTCAGCACCTTGCTCAGAGAACTCCTCATTCTCCCCTTTACCCCTCTGATCTAATTCTAAATTCTCAACCCTCAAAGCACTGAACTGACAAGAAAGGAAGCTTCTCAGAGAGCAGAAGAGAGTAGGAGACTGAGTAGGTCAACCTAGAATTTCCTTTCAAGTGCAAAGAAAGGGCAATGGCTGGTAACAGTCATATACTTTTCACCCATAACAAGTATTTGTCAAATGGAAGAAAAGAGGGCAGGAAGAATGGAAGAAAAGAAGGATCAGAGGAAGGGAAGGAGGAAAAAAGAAAGACTAATATATTTGAAAAGTCACTTTTACTACAGCCTAGCCAACTTCTGTGTCAAAAGTTTAACTTCCTTCTGCAGTACTCTTTTTCCTTCCTGTCCCTAAACCCTACCTATTAGTTATTTAATAGGTCTATGGCTACTGTCTTTCCATATCACTGGCTTTATACAGACTCAAGAACTTTAATGAGAGGTTATTATGGAACTATTTTCAGACTAGTTCTAAGTGGAGAATAAAGGTCATAATACCACTGTAGCAGCTAAAAGCACTTTTGCTGACATTATCTAATTTTCATAGAACTCTAGGGACAGGGGCAATTATTTTGATTATGCTTCTATAGATAGGTATTTTAGGCACCTTGAGTAGAATAATGGTGGTCAATCATTGCTTGCACCAGAAATAGACATGCATCTACTCATATTCAGGGGAGACCTATTTAGATGACACAACTTGGACTTCAAAAAGAATCTTTCATTATCCTTCTCCTACCTAATACAGAAAAACCCAAAGACTTTGATATTCTCATTAATAAATTGGAGTTGCACTGTTTAAGAAACACATTTTAAGAATTCGAGGCTCCCCCTCACAAAAAGTACAATGTGCAGTCTCTGAACATAAACAGTTGATAGCCAGCACTTGTATGACAGCTTTATTTTAAATAAATCCTGTTTAACAAAAAAAGAGAGATTTTTATTTTTAAAACCTTTCAATTATTGGCTATCCAAATTATGAGACAATTCTATTGCCCAGAATTTATTTGCATACTTTATTTCAAATATTCAATTTTATTTAAGAAGTCGATATCTAAATCATACACTCTCATCACAATTCCCACTGGAATATATATGGAAGTATTTAAAAGCCTTTACTTGAAATATATCTGAACCATTCTCCTTGAAGTCACACTCGGGATCTGCTATTCCCCTGCTTAGCTTCATAAATTGGTTCTAGTTACTCTTCACTGGAATTTCTGCTCTGCTGACCCATTCTGGACATATGACAAAATTTAAGCTTGAAGGAAAAAAAAAGATTAAGTTGCTAATGCAGATGCTCTTTGACTTACAATGGGGTTAGGTCCTGATAAACCCATCGTAAGCTGACAACATCGCCAAGTCCAAAATGCATTTGTTACATCTAACCTATTTAACATCACAGGTTGCCTCACTCACCTTATAAGTGCTCAGAACACTTACATTAGCCTACAGTTGGGCAAAAATATCTAACACAAAGCCTATTTTATAATAAAGTGTGAGGTATCTCATTCAACAGTATTATCGAATACTGTATGGAAAGTGAAAAGAGAGTAACTGGATGGGTATCTGAAATATTTTTTCTACTTAATATGTATCACTTTGACATCATTGTAAGGTAGAAAAATTGTAAGTAGACACACTACCCCTCCCCCCCCACATAAGTTGAGGACTGTCTCCACTTTATTCAGGAGGTAGAAGCATTGGATAACATGGGTAGGAGAGAAAAGGAAGTGAAGCAAGGAAAATGGGGTGTAGAATATTATGCCATGTGCTATGATGCATTATCACACATGCTTTTCCTTCACAAAAAGACACAGCAGATCATTCAGCAGGCATGTCCACTCATCAGGCAGGATTGAAAAGAGGAGGTGAATCTTGGAGTAACCTCCAGGAGTAAGAAAGTTGGGGAATTTTGCCTAGCTTCTTTCTGTCTCACATTTCACATTGATCTTACCATGGAGAGCTTCCTCTCCTGTACTTTCAGGCTTCATTATCCAGTCCCCTGAGATATCTCAGCACACCAGAATCCCTCCCCCGTAGTGTGGTGCTTTATCGAAGCCCTGAAATGCGGGGACAATCTAGTGTAACTGGAGCACTGATCAAGACGGAAAGGAAGAAAGCAGCAGAGTGAGGAGGAACACGATGTTATGATCATAATACAGACTCTCCTAGAAACATATCATGATATATACCTACTTTCTGAAAACACCACAACTCTTGAGCAAAAATCCTGTCTGGCCTTCCATGCCTGGGCAATAAATATAATAAGGGATCAAACAAGGATCAGACAAGATGCACTGGAGTTCAGGTCCCGACCCAGGTAATAAACCTGAGAGAGACAGAAATAGAAACAGTCAGAGGTTGAGTACAAACCAAAGTCCTTAGAGGGTACTAAAAGTTGAAGTTGAGAAAGTCAAAAGCAAACACAAAGACTGGGGTCACGGGTGGATTCAAAGTTGATAGGCAAAGCCCAAAACTGAAAGCAGGAAGAAATAAAAGTGGAGCCAGAGTAGAACAGAAGTAGAGCACAAAGAATCTCACTCAATTGTTTCAAAAGTGCTGAAAAGATGGCATTTATCTTTATATGCCACTAGGCATGTGGCAAATGGGCAGGCAGGTCTCCCTTAAAAGTGTGACATAATTGCAGATAGAAGAAATGTATGGGGATATGAGACTTATAAAAGCTTCTGGAAATAACCTTTATGTAAGTGAATTGTCCCTTGGACATGCCAGTTTGATAACCAAAATGAAGTCACATTTTCTTAATAAGCACACTATTCATTTATTCAAAATTTTGTACTAAAAGCCTACTATGACCAAATAACTGCAGTCAGGACCTCACTATGGAATACTTATTTAAACGGTCATATTTCCTGCCTTCATGGATCTTGTAATTTTGGAGGAAATATAGATAATTAACAAACAAATATATATTTATAATTATGAAGTGCTATAATCACATAAACAGTGTGCTATGAGAGAAAAAAAGGCTGAGAAGGAGAAGAGAGAATACACTTAAATACTGTTGAATTTAACAGGGACAACACTTTGAAGAATTGTCAGTTAAGCTGAGATTTTAAGTGTGAAAAAAGAAAACCAGCCTTGATGAATCTGAGCTGGTTCAGAAAAAAAGAAAAGCCTCATACACAGAGGTGACAGCATGGCTAAGTCCCCAGAGCTGGAGAGAGTGGCTTGATCAAGAAACTGAAAGAAGCTATGGTGGCTGAAACATAATACATAAATAATTACCTGAGATGAAGATGGAGAGGACCTTGTGGCCTTTGATTATGATTTGAACTTTATTTTAACTCTCCAATGTGAGGTCTTGGAAGGGTTTTACTGTTTCAGTTGTGATGGTTTAAAGTCCCCATTCTGCTTAACTTCAGGAAGTCTCCTCTTAACCGGTTACTTCCCCTACATATGAACAAGAATCCCTGGAGAAAAATTAAATGTTCCACAAATAGGTGCTATTGTCACCTGCTGCCCCAACCCCTTTCCTGCTATAGACCACTGCCTGAAAGGCTGGGATTACCATCTCCCATCAGTGTCTATGGCTCTCTCTACATTGCTCTTCCCCACACAGTAACAGCACTGCTGCAATTTTAATAGAATTTTACTGTAAGTTTGAGGGAAATTAAAGGGAAGGACAACACAGAGAGTAACTTATTACCATTATTAGATATATCTCTTCATGGAGCAGATGCATCCTTTGGTTTGGACAGTTCCCTGCTCAAAAATGTCTGGCTCAGACCATCTTGGACAGTGTCCATGATACAGAAAGGTAAGATGATCTTGATTCTGTCCCACTCTTATCCACTTCTCATTTCCTATCCCAGGATGAGAGTCTTCCAAGGATGATTGGCAATGCATCCCTTGTCAACTGAAGAATCATGTGGTTCATAAATTTGGAAATGAGAGCTTTGTTTCTTATAAAAGGTGGTAGCTGCAAGCTGGCCATCCTGCAGGTTGGGAAGCATAGCCTCCAGTATGCACCAAGTGGACACTTCAAGGTGAGACAGGAATTGATGGTGAAAGAGTCAGCTAAGTATACCTACACAACAGGTTAAAGGAGGAGCTATGAATATTCACCAAAGAACATGCAAACATGCATAATAAGCAAGTATGCATATTACATATATTTCATGTTCAACCTGGGGTGGAGACTTAACATTCAAATGCATTAAAATTAGGCTCTATACATCAAAAGGTGGAACAGAGAAGGCAAAGGGAACCTTCTTTGTTGGTTTGCATAAGCTCATACGAGGCTGGCAGGTTAATATCCCAAATACTTGGATCTGTACAGATACCGTGCACAGCCTCTGTAAACTGGCCAGAGCCAGTCCGTAGTCGGTGGTCTCTTATGAAGAAGGAATGCCGGTTAGTTGTGTAGAAACCACAAAAATGGAGGTGAATCTGGCAAGTCTTTCAAAAGTGCTGGTTTCTTTTTAACCTTTAGTAAATAAAGTTGATATAGTTTGGAAATGTGTCCATTGTTGAAACATAATCCCCAGTGTTGGTGGTGGAGCCTGGTGGGAAGTGATTGGATCATGGGAGTGGATTTCTCATGAATGGTTTGGCACTATTCCCTTGATGCAGCCCTCTGGATAGCGAGTGAGTTCTCTGGAGATCTAGTTTTTTAAAAGTGTGTGGCACCTCTCCCTCTGGCACCTCCCCCTGCTCTCTCTTGCTCCTGCTTTCACCACGTGATGTGCCTGCTCCTCCTTTGCCTTCTGCCATGATCGGAAGCTTCCTGAGGTCTCCTGAGAAGCAGATGCCACTGTGCTTCTTATACAGCCTGCTGAATCATGAACCAATTAAACCTTTTTTCTTTGGAAATTACCCAGTCTCGAGTATTTTTTTATAGCAATGCAAGAATGGCCTAATACAAAAGTCTAATGGCAATTTGTGAGAAAGGGTGTATAACACCCATCCCATCATGAGTGGCAACACAGATTTTAAGGTTTCTCTGAGGTCCACTTTGCCAAGAGGGTGTCTGTTCAGCCTGTTGGGAGGCTTAGGGTTTTAAATTCTCACCTTCAAAGGAAAACAACCCCCAATGTCTTCTCACTCACATGGATGAGGGCCGCCCCTGTGATCCTGAGCTATACTAGAATCCAGCATTCCATCATCAACAAAGGCTGAACTCAAGCAAGTGTTCGGGATATTAACCTACCAGCCCAATTTGAGCTTATCCAAACCAAGTATCATTCTTTCCTATAATTCAAGATAGAGACCAGGCTTGCTACACATCCCTCCTACAGGATCTTTGTCCATATGATGAAGCAGCTGGTTTCAGGCATGGCTTATTCTAGATCAGTATTTATAATAGACATAATTCTCTCAAGGATACAGCCACAGTTATGCAATCCTGTCTATCACATAGACCAACTTACAGAGCCTCAGAAATCTTCAAGTCTGGAGTATGTCTCCATTTTACTTTTACATAATAAAAAAAAAGAATTTGGCTCCTTCAAAACAAAGGTATAATCAGCATTAAGGGAAAATTTAATTCCCTAACCTTAACGAAAGAGAAAAATTCTTAAAGCTTAAAAAAATACATGTAGTTGTCTTTCTTACTAGCTTAAAAAATGCAAAACAAAACAAAAACTCTCCAACATTTGACCTTTTCTTATTCAGAATATATGCTTGTTTTCACTAGAAGTCACTGCAGTAAAACAGCTTCCTTCTTTAAATTCTTGCCTCAAGGATCCTCTTCAGTTTCATGCCAGTCTCTTTTGCCTGACCATTGTTGCAGACCCTTCACTTTGATTCAAGTTCTTGCATTTTACCCACCCATTAGAATAGGTTTTGCACCCCAAGGAAAGCTGCCCTACCTGGCTCTTACAGCAGTGCCCCTTTATGTGGACATCCCTGCCTGCTCCCATGAGGAGACCCAGCTTCTGAGACCCTAGCCCAGAATTCTGTTCACCCACCACCCCAGCCTCCAGTATTTCCTGATTGGTAAGTTGCAGCTATTATCCTCAGATGGATTAGGATTTCAGAACTCCACTGTAATGCTCCAGTGTGCTGTGATGCACACATAGCAGCTCCTTTGAAGAGAATATGGCTCAATTTCACTGTCACTTGGGTTCACTGTATTGTAGAAGACCTGCAAACTTCACTAACCAGAGAAACAAACGTGCTCCAGGCCTTCAATGCCAAGATTTTCATCCTCCAGTTCTTCCCCAACCCCCAAATCTGCCCCATCCTAACCCTCTATCCCTACCCCAACTTTTGCCCAATTACCATTAATGACTAATGTTTTCTTCTAAGCTGTCTCTTCCCACAGCTATTCTAGTAGATCCCTCCAGTGGCAAGTGATTCTAGGGCAATTAAGGAAGCTCAAATGAAGAATCATACACCACAGAGTTAGCTTAATTCAGAATCTACTCAGAGCCTACAGTTTCTCCCAGAGATATTTACCTCTGACCTGAACACTTTCTAGTTCTTCGTCTCACACAGATATATGGGTACATGCAATAAGGGTCAGACAGCAAAGCGCTAGTCAGCTTCTTTCTTCCAACTGGCCAGTCCACTGATCAAAGACCAACCATTCTGCCAGATAGTACAGGTAAACTGTCTCATCAACAATACCACTACCATTAGCCACAGACATTGAGAGGAGAAAGCGTCTGTAGCTCCAACTGTCATGTAGTTGTGGCTTCTTGCAGAGAATCTGAGATAGAATGGTTTAGCTTTGTGACCTCAGTTCTGGAAAACACTCCTATAGTACCTCTCCCTTTGTGATTTTACCACCTTCGAAGATAAAGACAAAAAAGACACTGTGTTCACATTATCTGAGCTAAATGCTATTAAACCAACTAGTCTGGAAGTAGCACAAACTGGCTGTATAGAGGAGACATCCAGTATGCTCAATTTTTTGGTTCTACAGAGAGGCCCACTCCCTTTCATCACCATACCATGAAGATTAATGAAAGAATTATCTTCATTCTGTTGAAGGATAGTAGGGACTTGTATTCATGGGAGAGTAATTATGGACTCAAGTGTGGCAAGCTGCTTTATAAACCAAACAATTAGCATTTAAGTTCAGTTCCCCATAAAACCCATAAGGAAAAACATTGTCAGTGGCTTCATTTATATTCCCTGTCCCATTTGCTACATCTATTCCATGAATTCCAGATAAATACATCACCTTTGGAGAAGGAACATCAAACAAGGAAATAAAAATCTCCCTTGGAGACTGTGATATGCAGCCAGATTTGGAAATCAATGCAAGATACCCTTAAACCACCTTCCCAATGTTCAGAATCCCATGATGCTTATGGGATTTTTTTCCCTGTAAGTGAGATTGGGGTTATTTCAACTGTTTCAATATAAAAACACTCTGCAATTCAGTAAATAACTTAAAATTGAATATCTTTTTCCTTTTGGGTAAATTCTTGGTCAAGTGACACAAATTTTAACTCTTTTTGAAGAAGATCCAATTGATTAATAGAAACACTAAATCCTCTTATACTGCCACCAGCAGTGAATATACTGCCTAAAGTCCTATCAACATTGAATTTCATCATGATCACTATTTTTTTTTGCTAGTGTAATTTTGTAATTTTGTAATAACAATATAGCCAAGCTGCTTTAATTCACATTGCTATGATTGCCCTGTAAGCTTCTGTGATGGAAGCCTTCTGAAAGTCATCAGATCCAAACAACTAGGCAAGATACCTCAAGCTAAATACTACCTAGCCTAATGTATTTACTAATGTGGTCTTGTGATAGAGATCATTCTTTTCTAGGACATAGTTGCTCAATGAACATGCAATCAATCTAAAGGGATTGTTTGGGTTATATTACGAATTTCTTTTTGTCAACATTCTTTATTATAATGATAGCAAATTAGGAAAAATCAAACACATCAGTTATCTTTCAACTTTGATGATCTCTGATGACTAGCAAGAAGGTTTTAAAGTTGTGCAAATTAAGACAATTTTTAGAAAGCCAAGTGGGTTTAATAAATCTATTTAAAGCTATTTTTATCATTCCACTAGTGCAAACAATAAATGAGACCAGGGTAGAGTTATACAGAAATGTTGTGTATGTCTTTGGATGTCCCTAAAATCTGAAGGGAACAGAACAGTGTAGCCCTAGGGTCATTTCATGTAGAATAGAATTATGAAAAATTTCAAGGTCATATACCCACGGCTATGACTCTTGGGTAATTGACTGGGCCAGACCTGCAATAGATCCTGTAAGTACAGACATGTTTCCTATTCTCTCTCCTATCCTATTGTAATTTCAAAGAAGGCAAAATAAGAACCGGTTGAATAAATATCCCCAAAGTTTGCATGTAAATAAATTTGAATGCAACACCACAAGTATGTCCTTGGTCTGTTCTCTCCAAAGTTTGATGTATTAAACAAACTATTAGGTTGGTGCAAATGTAATTGTGGTTTTTGACATTACTGTTAATTGCAAAATCTGCAATTACGTTTGCACCAACCTAATGGAAATCACACTCATAAATGTGCGTGGGACAAAAAACTTGGAAGAATAGCAGATGTACTGGATGACAGAGTCCAATCCAAAAGGGGTACATTTGGACTACAAACAGGAAATATGAGGTCAGAGGTCAGACATCTAGTACAGAAGAAAGCTGTGAAGTGGTGGATGTAACAAATAGTGTGAGGCAAAGGATCCCAAGGTATCCTTCTGTTGTATGTTAGCCATAGGGCACAGGCTTCTCTTTATTGATTTCAAGTTATGGAACTGGGCTAAAGCAAGCTCATCTTCAACACTCCTTTTCGCTTGCTCTCTCTCAGGCACTTAGGGAGCATTACAAGTTATCATCTGCCTGCTGGAAGAATTATACTGTCTTTTCTTACGGGCAAGTGCTTAGCAAATAATTTGGTCCTGTTTAAAGAGAGATCTGGCTTTTTCCTTGGGGTATCTGGGAGACACTTTATGTCATACCTGATTAGAGTGTCATTGTTTAGGTGTGAGTGGCCACATTGGATCTTAGAGTGGGCAGGCATACCTAGTAGTTTTGAGGGGTCCTTCTGGCCATGTTAGAAAGACCAACCATATGATTTAAGGTAGAGGCTTCATGGGGTATCAGTCAACCTGGGCACTGAATTCAAACATGTGGACAATTAATCAAACAATCATGTCTAGATAATGACTTCCAAATAAAAACTCTGGACCAAAATTGTGAAATTTCTCTTGTTAACAGTACTTGCATATGATCACATTAAGGCCCAGAGGGCAACCCCTCCCAACTCCACGGGAGAGGACAATGGAAGCTTTGCATTTATAAATCTCCCAGACTCTGCCCTATGTATGCATCTCTTCTTTTTGCTGATTTTAATCTGTATTCTTTTCCTGTAATCAACCTTAACCATGAGTCTAATAGATTTCATGAGTTTTGCAAGTTCTATTAGAAAATTATCTAACCTAAGGGTGGTTTTGGAAATCCTCCAAAATTGCAGCTGGCATAAGAAATGAGGAGTCTTAGCCAGGTGCAGTGGCTCATGCCTGTAATTCCAACACTTTGGGAGGCTGAAGCAGGAGGACTGCTTGAGTCTAGGAGTTCAAGCCTGGGCAACAAACTGAGACCCTGTCTCTAAAAGAAAAAAAAAAATTAATTGAAAGAAAAAAAAATAGCCAGGTGTGATAGTATGTGCCTCTAGTCCCAGCTACTTAGGAGGCTGAGATGAGAGGATCCCTTGAGCCTAAGAATTCAAGGTTGCAATGAGTTATGATCATGTTACTACACTTCAGCCTGGGTGACAGAGAGAGACCTTATCTCAAAAAATAAAAATAAATGAGGAGTCTTGTGGGCTATGGCTTCAAACCTTGTAGTTTGACGAACTCTGGGTAGTAATGTGTACATATCTACTAGTTGATATGGCCACCAACCATGTGCCTGCCCAAAGCGCTACTTTATGAGGGTTGGCTTACACTATCTTATGCAAAAACCAAGTTCACTATGCTAATAAGAGGACATACTTCCTATAAGAAAAAAAATGGTTTCTGTTTGTATTTTTCCTTCGAAAAGTTGAAAGTTCTTTGTGTTTTATAACAGTTCACCCAGATATTTGAGATTATCCTGTTTTAGCATTAAGAATAGAACTCTAACTTCAGGTAAGTCCCATCCTTAGTGGGCAATTGTGATTGCTCAGTAATCTCTCTCACACAGAAATATATGAAAAGTGTTAAACAGTAATAAAACTCTGACACTTCACTTCCTAGCTGCTGCCTCATTCTCTCAATTTTCTCATCTTCCTGACCCACTGTAATAATATTTTCTATCTTCCAACCTATGTTCTAGGCACCCCAGAGGTTGTTACATCCATTAACAATTATTTGCTAGGAGTTATGTCTGAGGTCAATTTCATCAGCTCTTATTAAAAACTGACCTTTTTAAATAAAAAAGCCTCCTATTACTCAGCAGAATTTTTATAGTTTTGCATTATTTGTGTGGTGGTATTTGATTATATTCATCTAAAAGGATGACCATTTATATCAGTCAGCTTAGGCTGCTGCAGCAAGAATATGACAAAAATGATGACGACTAAAAAGAAGAGGAAATTTCGGAGATATATTTATTTCTTGCTCATTTTACATGTCCACTGTGAGAGAGATTTACCTCTGCTTTATATTTTCTTCATTCTGGGGCCCAGATTAAAAGGTCACCCCTGATCCATATGGGACCCTGCCAGCTTTTATGGTAAATAGAAAAGACAGTGGGATCATGCAATAACTCTTAAAGCTTCTGCTTGGAAGTTGCCTATATCACTTCCACTCAACATTCAATGGACCAAACCAAGTCATGAGGCTAAGCCTACTCAACAGTTAAAACTCCAAAGTCCCACCCGATAATAGCATCATACTCAAAGTTCAAGACTTCAAGATAATCTCTTCATTAGAACCAGTTGTTGACTCCTTGATCCAGATACCTATGCACTTAAAAAAAAAAAACTATTTGCATTCTAAAAACTCAATATATTAGTAAGATGATAGGCAAAAGTCCAAGAAACCACAGTAAGCATTTCCATTTGGAAAAGAGACTTACTTAATACCTCTTCACAGCAATTCTGAAATCCTGTGAGGTAGATGTCAGAGAGTCTACTACTCTGGAGTGGAAATACTACTTGATAAGGCCCCAGTTCTGCTTCCTAATAGTAGCCTGCATCCTGTTATTTTCCTTGACTCTTGCTTCACCTTCTGGAAGGTTCTACATTTCTATTACCCTCCTTGGCCACAGCTGACATAGGCATAAAAGACTGAGCTGCTTTCTCCGTCTTCTTCCTGCATAGAAAAGGTTGGGTACTCAATAGTTGTTTTAAGTCTTAGTCTCTTTTAGGCCAAGCTGATGAAGTTTTTAGTGGTATAACTCAATACCCTCAAAATTTTGATTTTTAAAAATTTGTTTTATTCCAGTCAGCAATATGTGTCAATAGCAGACCTAATTTTCCATTTCTTGAGTTGAACACGTTCCTATGAGAAGACTACATCCTTTTTTTAGAGCTTTTTGTCCAACTAAAATGATCTACTGAGCACAATCACAATGCATTCAGAGGTTTTAACAAAGGACAGGAAAACCATACCCTTGCTTAGGTCTTTATCAAAAGGCTGAGTTTTAATCAGCCTTTTTTATTCACAGTTGATTTTACTTTATAGCCAAGGTTGAAAACTACTATTAAATGGTCTGTTAAATTCTGTCATAGTAAGCAGGAAGCACTGCTGATACTCTGTTTCCCACATCTCTGCCTAAAGCCATGAGTTCCAAGTTATTACAGTAATCCTTGTATTAATATCACACTATTACATAACTTGAGCTACCATCTTTCTAGTTTCTAATAATAGATTCTTCATCATCTATTTCTCACCTTAGAGCCAGTATCATTTATTTTCAGTTTTTGTTATAGCAGGTCTCCACTGGATGTGCCAAGAATTAATTCAGTCAGCTTAGGCAAGTCACGCTGTGGTAAAAAGTGATTCATGATTCTCACAGGCTTATGATAATAAACATGAATCTCTTGTTCATTCTTCATGTCTATTACAGGTTAGCTTCAGCTCTGTTTCATGGTACCTTCATGCTAGGACCCAGGCTAAAGGGGTATTCCCATCCACATACCCAGGCCTCATGGCAAATGCCACTTCCGTTCATATTTCATTGTCAGTTATTTGTTACTGTCTTAGTCTATTTAGGCTGCTATCACAACATATCATAAACTGAATAGTTTATAAACAACAGAAATATATTTCTTGCTGTTCTAGAGGTTGAGAAATCCAAGATCAAGGCACTGGCAGATTCAGTGTCTGACTGAGGGCCCTCAACATAGATGTTGCCTTCTAGCTGTGTCCTCAAATGGTAGAAGGGGCAAGGCAGCTTCTGGGGACTCTTTTGTAAGGGCACTAATCTCATTTATGAGGGTTCTGTTTTCACAATCTCATTACCTACCAAAATTTCCACTTCCAAATATGATCACATTGGTGATTAGGTTTTCAACATACAAATTTGAGAAGGACACAAATATTCAGACAATAGCACAGACCTAGCCTTACATCAGTGGAGCAAGACAGGGTAAATCTGCCAAAGGGAGAGGCAGTAAATGCCCTGAAAAATAATAAAATTTACCATATTATTATCTATGGATCTAATGCATATTTACTTAATCACTGGCTATTGACTGTGTGCATTATGGGTGTTGAAGATACAATAAAATATGCGACTATCCATTTTTAATTACTAAGGACTTCCAAGGCACACAAACTTTGCTTATAGGTAAACAATTAGACAGGAGATACAGGGATAACTTTGTCTCTCTGACTCTGTCCCTCCCTCCTCCAGTCTATCTGTATATATTTTTTATTATTACATATCAAATTACCACAACTTTAAGAAACTCAACACAATACGCATTTATTATCTCACAGTTCTGTAGTGCAGACGTCTGAGTGTATTAATCCATTCTCACATTGCTATAAAGATTTACCTGAGGCTGGGTAATTTATAAAGAAAAGAGGTTTAATTGTCTTACAGTTCCACAGGTTACGTAGGAAGCATGGCTGGAGAGACCTTAGGAAACTTAAAATATGGCAGAAAGCGAAGAGGAAGGAGGCATGTCTTACACGTGAGGAGAGAACGAAGGGAAAGGTGCTGCACACTTTTAAATAACCATGTCTCATGAGAACTCACTATCACAAGAACAGCAAGAGGGAAATCTACCCCACGATTCAATCGCCTCCTCCCAAGCCCCTCCTCCAACACTGGAGATGACAATTCAACATGAGATTTGGGTAGGGACAAAAATACAAAGCATATCAGTGGGCTCAACTGGATTTCTCTGCTTAGGATCTCACAGATCAAAACTGAATTCGAAAGGAAAGTAGAACTACGGTAAGTTTTCTAAAAAAAATACAACCTATAGAATCTTCCTCTGAGTAGTTAGTGTATCTTCTTTCTGTGACCAGGATGTTGAAAATAAAATATTATATAGGCTATAATTTTATTACATATACTTTGGGGTTAGCTGGCAGAACATCTGTTAGAAAATGCTCTTACATAATGGAAAACTTAGACTAGTATTTAATATGTTAATTTAAAATATTGCATATATTATGTTATTTAATCTTCAGAATATTTTTAAGTTAGACAGTATTGCTCCTCTTACAGGTTTCAAGATGTCAAACATAGATCAAGCCAAGACCATAAAATGATAAAAGACTAAAACATAAAAAAAAAAACCCACAACACAAAAATAAAACAAGAAAGGGTTACTGCAATACTGTTCACAAGGCAATATACGCAATCAACCTAAGTATCCATCAACAGATGAATGGATAAAGAAAAGGTGGTATATATACATAATTGAATACTACTCAGCTGTAAAAAGAATGAAATTATGTCATCTGCAGCAACATGGACAGAACTAATGGTCATTCTGTTAAGTTAAATAAGCCATGCACAGAAAGACAAATATCGCATGTTCTCATGAGTAGGAGCTAAAAAACTTGATCTCATGAAAGTAGAAAGTAGAACGATAGATATGAGAGGCTGAAAAGGGCGTGGGAGGGAGAAGTTGAGGAAGAGAGGTTGGTTAGGGTGCAAACATATAATTAGAAGAAATAAGTTCTAATATTTGATAGCAGAATAGGATGACTATAGTTAACAATAACATGTATTTCAAAATAGCTAGAATGGAGGACTTGAAATGTTCCCAACACATGGAAACAATTAACACTCAAAGTGATGAATACCCTAAATACTCTGACTTACCATTTATGTGATCTACGTATATAACAAAACATCACATGTACCCCATCCATATGTATAAATATTATGTATCTTTTTTTAAGAAGTAAAAAAAAGAAACGGATCTATTAGCACAATACAGATATCAACAAACTTTAGGAAGATGGATGTTAAAATGTTAATGAAGCAGAGGAAGGAATGTTGCAACAACAACAAAAAAAGTGTGGAGAGAATGCAGTAAAGAAGGCATTTATTCAACCAGCAAATCCCCGGAGAGAATATCTTGTAATTCTCAATACAATGTAGACCATGAATTAGAAGTGAGGCTGAAAAGAAGATTAGCTGACACTTCAAATACAGAACTGTCATTTCCACCATTTTAAACTCCTGCTCACCACCTTCATAGATAACATTCTTCAGGCAGGCATTTACCCCAAGTTAAGAAAAGGGGATAGAAGCAGAATTCTTTTGAAATAAATTAGATGCTCAGGAAGAACTTTGTTATTAAAAGCAAATTTGCCGCTGAGAATCAACATTTGAGAAAAAAAAATACAACATGCAAAAGAAAGACTGAAACAAACAAAAGGGGAAGGGGTAAGCAGCGATAAGATAAGGAACAAAAAAGAAGTTTAAAACACTCTAATTAGTATTCTAAGAAATGGTCCAGACAACATAATATTCATAAATCAGGAATAGGCCACTATGTAAAAAGTAATAATAAAAGAAACCAGAAAAACCTCTTGGGAAATTACAAAATAAGATTAACAAAATAAAAATTTCAATAGTCAAGTTGGGAAATAATCAAAGAAATGAAAAATATGAGAGCAAATATAAAGACACATCAAGCCAAAAATATCAGTATCACTAACCAAGAAATGAAATTTCAAAAAACAGATTATAGAGAACACAGAGAAGAAAAAATTTACAAAATAAATAATCAAAAGGAATTTCCCAATCTCACCAGTCTTCAAGATGAAACATCCTGGCACAGGAAATAAGGATCCACATCTGAGTTCATCACTGTGAAGTCTGAAAACACCAGGAACAATAAATCCTAAAAAACATGAGCAAACAGGCACAAAGGCAGTGTTACTTAAGGTTAGTGAGAAAGGTAATATTTGAGACTGTAATTGGTTTTTTCTGATACCCATTTTCTTTCCTCTGTATTGTCATACAGGGATAAAGTTATCTGGCAACTTTACAAATAGATTTAGGAAATCCCATCCTAATTTTCTCACTCACCTTTCCATCTCCTACCTCCCCATCACTCCTCCAACCAAAAAGAAAAAAAATCAATCTTCCTACTCATTTCCATTTTCAATTGCCTACTGGATATTTTAACGTGGATGCCCATATGCAAATCCCATGTATAGGAACCATTATGTCAGAATTTTTAATAATTGGTCCCCTGCTTTTAGCCTCTCCCTGCCACAAATCCATCCTTCAAGCTGCCATCAGAGACGTTTTCTAAACTATAGACCTGGTTCATTCATTCACTTGTAAAAGCTTCAGAGAGAACACCAAAACTATGAGTGTCATTTAACTGCATATGTTGTAATGTCCAATCTCCTTAACCTCCTAAAATAGCCATTAATTTATATTTTATTTATTTATTGAGTTAATAATGAGGGTACCTGTCATGTGCCAGGTATTGTGCTAGATGCTGTAATACACAATATAACATGATAGAATCTCAGAATAATTATCCTGAATGAAAAAAGCCAGACCAACAAAAAAAAGCACATGCTATATGTATATGTTTCCATTTTATAAAATTCTAGGAAATGCAAATTAACATATAGTAGATTAGTGTCTTTCTGAGGATGGGAACAGAGCAGGAAAGAGAAGGATAGAGAAATTACAGGAGCATAAGGTAACTTCTGAAGGGGATGCATACGTTTATTATATTGTCTACGGTAATAGTTTCATGGGTAAATACATATGTCAAAAATTACATTAAATTACACATGGAAAATGTGTATAATTTTATCCAATTCCCATGTGCAACTTATTATAGGTCAATTACATCTCAATAAAGCTGTTAAGACAAACATTTAAAAGCCTCAAGTTAGGAGCTGAATTGTGTCCTTCCGAAATGCGTATGTTGAAGTTCTTACCCCCAGTACCTCAGAATGTATATCTGAATACAAAGTATTTAAAGAAATAGTTAAGTTAAAAGGTGGTCTTTAGATTGAAATCCAATCCAATATGACTGATCCTCTTTAAAAAGAGGAGATAAGAACACAGGCAGGCAAATATATAGTGGGACAAGATGCGGCGAAAACACAGGGAAAGATGACTATCTGCAAGTCTAGGATAGAAGTCTCAAAATAAGCAACCCTTCCAACACCCAGACTCAGACAAGTAGCCCCCAGAACTGTGAGAAAATAAATGTGTGTTGCTTCAGCTATCCAGTGTATGGTACTTTGTTATGTCAGCCCTAGCAAACTAATATACTGCTAGCCACCATATATATATACATATGTGTATATATGTATATATATGTATATGTGTATATATGTATATATGTGTGTATATATGTATATAATGAAGAGCTCGTTTATAGTTCCACTGAGTTTTTCCTGTGTGTGTTGCAGGCATCTTTGAAACAGCAGTATCAGCAATTTAGAGTCAGCATACATATATATATATATATATATATATATATATATATATATATATATATATATGTATATATACACATATATACACACACACACAAATATATACTCATATATACACATATATACATATATATATAAAATACATGCTCTCCATGTGGCTGTAGCATGTGTGATATATTTTTTATGTAAATAATTTCCTTTGTTTTACAATAATTATCTACTTCTTTTATAATTAGAAAAACAGTCATAAAATGTTATATGGAATCATTCATGGGATTCAATATGAAAATTATAACAAAGGAGCCATGGTGGAAAAACTTCCATTTTTTAATTATAAAAGAAGAATGTTTCTAGTATAGGATGAAACGTGGTAATTTCATAAAGACAACTTAAAGAAAACTGGTAAGTGTACTTTTGAAATCTTTCCATAAATATTCAGGAGGAAGCCTGCTGACTCTAAATTGCTGATACTGCTGTTTCAAAGACGCCTGCAACACACACAGGAAAAACTCAGTGGAACTATAAACGAGCTGTTCATTAAAGATACCTATGTAAATTACAAGACAAAAGGTAATATTCTATATCAAATGATCCCATTTTTTAGAAAGCTTCACAAAATGAGCTTTAAGTTGGCAGTGATTACCAGCAATGTTTTTGTTAGGCGCTTCACAAGGCTTTCTTTTATTCTTAATTACTTTTGTAACTACCAACACTTATTCAATTAGATATGTTAATAGTCCCTGGATTTCTGTACACCTGTTTTTTCCAGCTGTCTGCAAGGCTGGCTCTCTGACATCTGTAGAGAGCTGGTAGTTCCATTTCCTACCATTAAAAAATCACAGGAAAAGAAGTCCTGGGATCAGTGTGGGGTTAAAGCGCTTAAAATAAAGACAAAAACTAGTTAAGCATGCATATTCTTGCAATAAAATCGGTGCTACAGGGATGACTTCTGGGATACACCCAATAATTACCACAGGTCCTCTATAGTTTCGTAGATATAAATCTCTTTACCAAAGAGCGAATTCATTCTACAGACCTTCTGGTGCTTGGGTTGTATTTGTAACTGTATACAAATGAAAGGTCCAGATTGAAGAGTAGTTTGGGTTATAAAAATTAGAGTGAAAATGAAATACTTGAATATTGAGTCATTTGTAATTGACTGAAATATCTCTTTAAAAATGCTTTAATAAACATGCTTTCTCCTATATTTTTTATTCAGAAAATACTTACTGTGTACCTACAAATACTTTTCCTAAATTTAGGGAATAAAGCCATAAAGATAATGACTCTGATCTCATGGAGTTTGAGAAGTGGGAGGGATCAATACATTTAGATCTGATCAATATTATAAGGAGCCTAAAATAATTTAAAATTACAGGGAGTAATTGGCTTGCAAAGGGCAATGCTATTTACATAGGGTGGTTGGTCTTTTCAAAATGATAATATTAAAATGAGATCAAATTATTAACTTAAAAGACAGTGAAAGATTAAGGAAATAATTATTTTATCCAGTGTTGGAGGCAACACTGGAGAATGGGAGATGTAAATTGATGCAATCCATATTGAAAAGATGTGGGCATAATTTATTAACATATTTTTAAAATATACCTAAATTGACCTAACAGTTATATTTGTAAGCTTTTGTCTGAAAGGCTTGAAACAAGATTTTATCCCAGGGTTGTATATTGTACAATTGTTTATAGTTGTAAAAACTGGGGAGAAATTGAATTCCAACAGAGTTCTCATTAGATTAATATGTTACATCAGCAAAATTAATTATTGTATAGCCATTAACAATGATGCTAAAATGTTTCTGAGATGAGACAGCAGGTCTTCCCCGTCCTCCTCATACTCCTTGATAGTAGTAGAATCTTTTTTTTTTTTAAAGAAAAGTTTTCTTTTTTTTTATTATTTATGTATTATTATTATACTTTAAGTTTTAGGGTACATGTGCAAAATGTGCAGGTTAGTTACATATGTATACATGTGCCATGCTGGTGCGCTGCACCCACTAATGTGTCATCTAGCATTAGGTATATCTCCCAGTGCTATCCCTCCCCCCTCCCCCCACCCCACAACAGTCTCCAGAGTGTGATGTTCCCCTTCCTGTGTCCATGTGTTCTCATTGTTCAATTCCCACCTATGAGTGAGAATATATGGTGTTTGGTTTTTTGTTCTTGTGATAGTTTACTGAGAATGATGATTTCCAATTTCATCCATGTCCCTACAAAGGACATGAACTCATCATTTTTTATGGCTGCATAGTATTCCATGGTGTATATGTGCCACATTTTCTTAATCCAGTCTCTCATTGTTGGACATTTGGGTTGGTTCCAAGTCTTTGCTATTGTGAATAATGCCGCAATAAACATACGTGTGCATGTGTCTTCATAGCAGCATGATTTATAGTCCTTTGGGTATATACCCAGTAATGGGATGGCTGGGTCAAATGGTATTTCTAGTTCTACATCCCTGAGGAATCGCCACACTGACTTCCACAATGGTTGAACTAGTTTACAGTCCCACCAACAGTGTAAAAGTAATAGAATCTTAAAAAAGTATAAGCCTACAACAAATGAAGGAATACGAGCGTAGCCAGCAATAAGCAATGGGAGGTAAATGGAAGAATCTCAGCAGATGAGGCATAGCAAAAAAAAGCCAGTCTGGAGCACATGTGGTAAGAGCATCTGTGAAGGAAAAAGCTGATCCACTCAGCAGCGCAGCAAGTAAAGGGCAATATGACAAAAGGAGAAAACTATTTAAAAAGTTAAAAATGGACAGTACACAAAGGTCTATGTACAGAAATTTGTGAAATAATTTGTCCCTCTCCTTTGACTGCCATTAGTGGCCCAAAGCTTTACACTTAACCACAGACAAACCTGGAAAGAACTAAGGCAACTAAAGCTGGATGCTTGTTCCAGGGAGCACATACCACCTCATTCTATTACACAGGTGTTCCCTAACCAAATAGCCAGTTTCTTCCCCTTACCCTAAAGCCTGAAGTTAATAAATCTTAACTACCACCATAGATGATGCAGTCAGATTTACCATCACCCAGTTCTAAATATGAGCAAATGAGACATTTAAGGAAATACTGCAGGCTGCAAGATTAATACCAAGATTTAAAAATTATAATAACCTTTAGAAAAAGTAAAAGGGAAATGACCAAAAAAAAAAAAACTTCAGGTAGAGTCCTCAGTGAAGTTTAAGAAGATATCCCTTCTATAAAGCAAAATACTGTATTGTAAAAGCAAAAAACAAATCAGAGAATAAGAAAAAAACTCTTAAAAAGTAAACATTTCAATTTGGAGAAAAGAATCACTTAAACACATTCTTAGTGCCCTGTCAGCCTGCTTTCAATCCAACAATCAGCCTCTGGAGTGCAGAAGACACCAGTCAGGGTCTGAAGATTATAAGTAAGGTCTTGGGCTCTGCTAATGAAAGGAACAAACCTGCAACGTTTTTCCCTCTGGGTGGAGACAACACTGGGATGGCAGCAAGAAGCCCAAGGATGTGAATTATAATACGAAAAGAACAAACCTGCAACGTTTTTCCCTCTGGTTGGAGACAACACTGGGATGGCAGCAAGAAGCCCAAGGATGTGAATTATAATACCTGGCAACCTGGAGAGATGTCTGTCCTCTGACCACTAAGGATCCCGGAGAGGAACTTCAGGGAAACTAAACACAGCAGCTGAGTCAACCCTAGCCCTGAGGCTGGAAAAGCTCTATCACGGTGGTTCACCAAATTAGAAACACCTGAGGAGCTTTTACAATTCCTATTACCCAAGCAACACCCCATATCAATTAAATGCGAATCTCAGAGGGTGGGGTAGAACCCTTAGTGTTTTGAAAGTTTACCAGGTGTTCCCAATGCATGGCCAAGTTTGAGAATCAGCGCTCTAATTACCTGCAGCAGCAGCAGAAGCAAAATGTGGCAATTTGTTAGAAATGCTGAATCACAGCCTACTTCAGACATCATGAATCAGAATCTGTATTTCCACAAGATGCCCAGGGAATCACGTGTACATGAAAGTATAAGAAGTTCTGCATGTAATCCAAAGACTAGGAATCCAGGCCAGTTAAACCAAGGATAGAGACTAAACATTGGTACTTTTTAGGCATTCCTAAGGTAACTCCTCAAATCCAAATGCAGTCATGTGCAGGGGTCCGTGGGAAACTCCTGACCTGCATATTGCAACTGAGACAAGCACAGCAGAGAACCTTTCCCTTTGGGACCCAAATGGGAGATTGACAAGTCACCATCTGCTACATCACTGGCTCTAAGGGAATGAAACTTGTTCAATTTCCACCTCCACATAAGGTAGATTCCAGGTAAGGTATAGCAACAACCCCATGCCCAAAAAATGAGACATGAGTGGATGAAGGAAAAAAAACACAGCTATGGAGCTCTGGCCATCCACAGAGAAGCAGAACAAGCAGAACATTGAGAACAGGCAGCTTTTAGCAAAAGTATTAAGAGCACCTAAGGAGATTCAATCACAGCACTAAATAAAAGTATTTTTATCAAATAAAAACCTTTTTAATGTTAAAAGTTGATAGATTAAGTATAAGAAGTATCTAACAAAGAGATAGATATCATGAGGTTAGAGACTTGGATGACAAGGGTTGAATTGTGTCCCTCAAAAAGATATGTTAAAGTCTTAACCTCTAGTACCTGTTAATGTAACTTTATTTAGAAATAGGGTCTTTGCAGATGTAGTCAAGTTAAGATGACATCTTTGGGATTAAGGTGGGCCATAAATCCAATGACTGGTGTCCTTGTAGAAATTTGAAGACACAGAGAAGACCCAGGGAAGAAGGCTATGTGAAGAAGGAGGCAGATTAGAGTTATGTTGCCACAAAGAAGCACCAAGAATTGCTGGCAACCACCAGAAGCCAGAAGAGGCAAGGAGGATTCTTCCCCAGGTTCTAAAGAGAGAGTACAGCCCTACTGACACCCTAATTTCAGACTTCAAGCCTCAACAACGGTTATAGAATAAATCTGAGTTGTGTATGTCCCCAGTTTATGGTTAATAGGTTACAGCAGCCTTTGGAAACTAATACTGATAACAAATTCAGAAGACCTTATATACAAACAGAAGAAAGAAATAATTAGAAAACTAGTAAACAAAAATTTGAGTTTAAGAAATTTTTGAGCCTTCAGATTGAAAGGCATCACTGAATTTCAGTATTGACTAAAATAGACATGCACTACAGCATAAATATCCTGGTTAAAAAGAAAAAAAAAAAAAAAAAAAACGTCTCCAAAGATAAACCTCTACCCAATGCCAGTGGAAAGGAGAAATTTCTAGCAAGGAGTAAAAGCACTGGATGTCTCATCTGAAAAACTAGAAGATAGAATTTAGTGAGCTAACAACTTCTACAGACTTTTAAGAAAAAAGATTGCAATATAAGAATTTTCTACCTAGGTAAGATATTATTCACCTGCGTAAATGCAGCAATGAAGAAAATAAACTCCCACATGTGAAGAATCACACCTGAGGAAACCAACGTAGAACAGATCATATCCAAACTTCCAACGATTCAGAATGAGAGACTTCAAGATAAATATGAAAACAAGACAATACGATGGTGCAATTGTTCTTATAAAATACATAGTTAAATCTAAATGAATAATAACAGAATGAGAAATAGTGCTAAATAGGTTGTTTTGATTTAAAATAGTCACATATGAACCTCTTGGTATGCATAGCTTTGTATACTTCTGTAAGGCCATATATTTTAGATGTAATTTGTTGTGAAAATGGATTTAAAACAGGTAACTATTTAGTCCTTTTATATCTCAATTTCCCCATTTTATGAGTTCATTATTTTGGTTTTCCCCTTGATTATTTGGAATATGTCTACAAAAATTTTTGATTTTTTTCTCCTTGAAAGTTGCAGAGGTGATCAGCTTTTAAATTGAAAAAAAAGTTCTTACTGAGGGAGAACTTATTTTTCTCCAAAACACTGTTCCACCCTTCTCTAACATATTTTATGACTGAGAAGCAACCCTAAGTCTATTTTCCCTTTTAGGGAATGTGTCCCTGAACCTCTACAGGCTTCTACAGCTCTTTTCAGTCTTTGAAATACAATAACCCCATCAGAATAGGCCTCAATATTGGTGGATTTTCATTAATTTTGTCTGATACATGGAAAGTCCTATAGATGAAGACCCATCTTCAATTCAGAAAAATTTTTTTATATTTATATTTATATTTTGTTCTATTTTTTAATTTTTTTCTGTTCTAGTCCCTTCCCTGGGAACCAATGGTATGTTGAATCACCGTTATCTGTTCTTTCTAGTCATTTTTATAACTAATGGTGACTATAGTCAATAATAACTGTATATTTTAAAATAACTAAAAGAGTGTAATTGGATTGTTTGCAACTCAACGGATAAATGCTTGAGGGGATGGGTACCCCATTTTTCATGATGTGCTTATTTCATATGGCATGCCTGTATTAAAGCATCTCATGTACCCCATAAATATATACACCTACTATGTACCTACAAAAATAAAAAATTAAAATTAAAAAATAGTTCTCCTTGAAGAGGCCCTTCACTTCCTTTGTTAGCTGTATTCCTAGGTATTTTATTCTCTTTGTAGCAATTGTAAATGGGAGTTCATTCATGATTTGGCTCTGTCTATTGTTAGTGTATAGAAATGTTAGTGATTTGGGCACATTGATTTTGTATCCTAAAGCTTTCCTGAAGTTGTCTATCAGCTTAAGAAGCTTTTGCATTGAGACTATGGGGTCTTCCAGACATAGGATCATGTCATCTGCAAACAGAGACAGTTTGACTTCCTCTCTTCCTATATGAACACCATTTATTTCTTTCTCTTGCCCTATTGCCCTGGCCAGAACTTCCAATACTATGTTGAATAGGAATGGTGAGAGGGGCATCCTTATCTTGTGCTGGTTTTTAAGGGGAATGCTTCCAGTTTTTACCCATTCAGTATGATGTTGGCTGTGGGTTTGTCATACTTGGCTCTTATTATTTTGAGGTGTGTTCCATTAATATTGAGTTTATTGAAAGTTTTTAACATGAAGAAACATTGAATTTTTCGCAGGCCTTTTCTCTGTCTATTGAGATAATCACGTGGTTTTTGTCTTTAGTACTGTTTATGTGATGAATCACATTTATTTATTTGCATATGTTGAATCAACCTTGCATCCTACAGAATGAGAGAAAAGTTTTGCAAGCTATTCATCTGACAAATGTCTAATATCCAGAATCTACAAAGAATTTAAACAAATTTATAAGAAAAAAACAAATAACCCCATTAAAAAGTGAGCAAAGGACATGAATAGACACTTCTCAAAAAAAGACAATTATGCAGCCAACAAACATATGAAGAAAAGCTCAACATCACTGATCATTAGCAAAATGCAAATCAAAACCACAATAAGACACCATCTCACACCAGTCAGAATGGCATTATGAAAAAGTCAAGAAACAACAGATGCTGGTAAGGTTGTGGAGAAATAGGAATGCTTTTACACTCTTGATGGGAATGTAAATTAGTTCAACCATTGTGGAAGACAGTGTGGTGATTCCTCAAAGACCTAGAGACAGAAATATCATTTGACCCAGCAATCCTGTTACTAGGTATATACCCAAAGGAATAAAAATCATTCTATTATAAAGATACATGCACGCATATGTTCATTGCACCACTATTCACAATAGCAAAGACATGGAATCAACCCAAATCTCTACTAATAATAGACAGAATAAAGAAAGCACAGTATATATACACCATGAAAATACTACACAGCCATAAAAGGAACAAGATCATGTCCTTTGCAGGGACACTGATGGAGCTGGAAGCCATTATCCTCAGGAAACTAATGCAGGAAGAGAAAACCAAACACCAAATGTTCTCACTTATAAGTGGGAGCTGAATAATGAAAACACGTGGACACAGGGAGGGGAACAACACACACTGGGGCCTGTGGGAGTCGGGGGTGGTGGGGAGAGCATCAGGAAAAATAGCTAATGGATGCTGGGCTTGATACCTAGGTGATGGGCTGATAGGTGCAGCAAACCACCATGGCACACATTTACCTATGTAACAAAACTGCACATCCTGCACATGTATCACAGAACTTAAAATAAAAGAAAATTATATATCTATATAGATATATATAGATATTTCATTATATATATATAAAATGAAAAATAAATATTTTACAGCTTTTTTTGGTTTTAGGTAATTTTCTCAACTACATCTTAATGATTCAGTTTTTAGCAATGATAAGTTTTCTCTTTACTACTTTAATTTCTTTAATAGCACTTTTCTTTTATTTGATTCATTTATTTAGTTCCTTAACAAAAATTTCTATGGCTCATTATTTAATATTGCATTCATGTTCATTTCAGATACTACATTATCTTTAATATTGGTCTGAAATAGTACATAAAATTTTATTTTGTATCCATGAATAAATATTCTTTAAATATATGCTTTTCAACTAGGTTTTTCACACTATTGTAGAATGTGTTAATCTCATTTATTACTAGGATGTGAGGACAGTGGGTTTTAAGTATAATGGGCTCCATTTTACTCATCTTTAATTGATTGTCAGAGGTTTTCTATTAACTCTCAACTTTCCTGATTATTTCCTGACATTTTGTGAATAGTGTTTCTGAGATGTAAGCTGAGGGTGATGATGTGGGTTGATACCATCACCTCCATTATTCAGTGGCTTCGAGAGTGTGGGGAGCTAGTTGGTACTATAGAATGCTATAGCCAAAGCACATTTTCCCTGAAGGCATTTTCTGTACTTTTGTTGAAATCAACTGCATTTGGAGAAAATATTTTCCCATCATCGGGGCCCTTAGTTCTCTCCCACCTCTAATTCAGCTGGCCATATAGACAAAAACTTGTGTGAGAAAAAAAAGCTCCATCAGATTTCTGTGGGACGAAACTGCACATGTCCTCCTTAATCCTCTTACTGCTAGTGACCTACAGTTGTTAAATAGCTCTAAATAGATAGTCTCCCATCCTTCAAATGATCCACCCTCATTTCCAGACCTTCTTGCTCTAAATTATTTGATGAGGCAGCAGGCTTCAAGAGGGCCCCCTAAGGCCCCTATCTCCTGGTGGCTTTGTTCCAGTATAATCTCCTCCTCTTGAGTGTGGGCAGGATCTGTGACTTGCTTCTAATAGAATACAGCAAAAGTGAAGAAATGTCACCCACATGATTATGTTGCATTCGATTCTGACTTTTCTCTTGCTACCAGCACCTTTGTTGATGCTCCCCCTCACTGTCTTTGATGAAGTACACTGCCATCTGGAGAGGTCCATGTGGCAAGAGATTGAGGACAGCTTCCAGCCAACAGCCAGCAAGAAGCTGAAGCTCTCAATCTGACAGCCCACAGAACTCAATACTGCCAACAACCACATGAGCTTGGAAATGGATCCTTCTCCATTTGAGCCTCAGATGGGACCCCAGGCCCGGATAAAAACCTTGATTGATGTCTGTAAGAGACCCTGAACCAGAAGACCCAGCTGAACCATGCTTGGATTCCTGTCCCACAGAATGTGTGCTGTTTTAAGGTGTTAGATTTGTGGTAATTTGTTTTTCAGCAATGGATAAATATGCTACACTAGGTTTTCTTCCCAAATCAGTTTTGCTATTAGAAAACCATCTCAGAGAAAAATAAGTAGTTCTGACTGAACCACTGTTGTTTGGAATATAATAGATCTATGTTATGGAAGGGAAATCCAAAAGGAATTTTCCCCCTCCTTCTCATAGCCTGTCCATACTTCCAATCCCTGGACCCTCCCAATTGGAAGGTATTGATAAAATTTTCAGAATTGTTTTCACCTGCAATCCACAACAATGTATCATTGTTTTATCTTTAAAACATCTAGTTCCCTAGAAGCAGAGACTGAGGAGGGGATTTTCTTGAAAGTGTTGAGAGAGTTCTCAAGAGAAGTCAGTAAGGCAGAAGAAAGGAAAGCAAGAAAGCTAAGCAAGACACTGTCTCTCAGCTGGAGAGTAACTTCCGTCCTGGTCCCTTTGGAATCTCTGCAGCAAAACCTGCACCTCTGAATTGATTGCATCTTTACGCCAGGGGGCCAGCCTTTTATCTCCTGGGTCAGTCATGGTCCCTAGCTATCCTGGTGGGGGTCCGGGGCTGGGAGAGGATTTGGTTGAAGATAAAGTCTGGGTGTCCTTAGCAGCCAACTGGGGGAAGATTGCACCTGCTCAGTGAAGGGTATCTGGGTCAGGCACCAACAGCATCTGCCAAAAAAGGTAAGTGTTGTGCTTCCTATGGTCATCTTTGAGAATGTTCTAAGGTATATTGTACCTGACAGTCTTAAAATATTTTTCATTGGAGAAATCTCTAGTTTCAGTGTTATGTGTGTTTTCTTTCATATCATTCATTCTTTTTGATAATTTTATTTAATGTATGAGAGTTTACAGATATGCTCTCACTCCATCTTTCCCAAAAGTGTCCAGGTTTATGAAAGGACAGTTGATTATTTATGCCTCTACATTGTTAATACTGTGAATTAGCTTATTTCTAAAGCAAAGTCTGTAATAATATATAATCCATCTCTTACTCCACCCCATTCTTAACATTCAGTTCATCGCACAGACCTCATGAGAAGCGTCAGGATGAAACATAATACTGTCTAGCAAATATTGTGGGGTCGCTGGCCCCATTCCTAATTTAGTCAGGGGTACAGCATCCGAAAAAGAAGCCCAAAAGCTCGGGTTATCTTTTCATGGTGCCACTGGGGTGGCTGGCAAGGTTCCTACTGTCACAGCAGGATTATCCTGACTTACTCAGCCAGAGGAAAATTGCTTCCTAATGGAACCCGAAGCCCTCCATTTAATTTTCCCTCAAGGCCTGAAGGGTACAATCCCAAGAATTCATGCTAGGCAAGGCCTCGTCAAAATTTATGTTCTGCGCTCATTTGAGAGTCAGAAAATTTCAATTATGTAGCCTCCCAGGATACATTTCAGAGAAAAACAGAACACAATTGTTTTTGCTCACTTATTAAACACAAACCATTTTGTTCCTAGCTCCATTACTTTTTCTTACTTTATCCCTTTTATGCAAATAAGCAGCCCATTTTCAATCTCTCTTGAAATAAGAAATGTAGACTTTGTATATGGGAAATATTTGCTTTTGGAGTTTGCTTTAAAAATTATCTTTAGGAACAACGTGAATTTTTTTTGACACTTTAAAGTTTCAAAAGTGCTTTCATATCCATTGTTTTATTTGATTCTCACCAAAAGCCTGCAAAGAAAGTAGGCAGGTGTTATAACCCTCAATTTAAAAAATAGAGTTCAGAGATTATCTAACTTCTTAAATCATGAGACAAGAACCAGAATCTCTGACTTTTGTCAAATGTGTCTCCTCTTCCATGCTGCCTTTTAACTATCAGCAATAGGCAGTCTCAATTTCTTTCTTGATCCTGGGGATATTTACTTTTTTTCTAACTCAGGGATCCCACAAACACACAACAGGATTTAGCAACACCCCATTTAGTATTGTTCAATTCTAGCACTCTCTTTATATATTTCCACATTCTCTAATGAGGACTCTGACTTAATTGCCTAATCTGGACATGTTATTTTACCAGTGGGACTCCAAAATACTCTGTTGAGTCCCCAAACTGGCATGTTGTTTCAGTTTATTTGAATTTTATTTTATCACCCTTATGCTTTCTTTCTATTGAACTTCAAAGCAATCCTCACCATGCATAACATCACTTAAATAAGACATAGCTCTGCAAAGTAAGATTTTTCTAAAGATTCCTTGTGCAACCATAGGAGGCCCCTTCCAAACCAAAACGCTATGATTCTTATCTGTGGGTTCTGCTGTAAATTCTGATCTGCAGGCATGTTTAACAGCTTTCTAGTGACTATTGTAAAGGGAGGATATGCTCAAAATGACGTCTGCTTATATTATTTCTTTGCCGAATTGTTCTCAGCAAGTAGAAAATCTGCTTGTACCTCTCCATCAGTATCCTCCCCGGAAAGGAGACATTTTCTGGTTGTGTGCTGCCTGAGTATTTGACTTTACTTGATGATCTTTAAAGTTCAGCCAGAAGGACAAACAGTACATCCAATGATTCTCAACCTTTTCCTCACTAAGGACACTTTTATCACTTCACTCCTAGATTTGAAATATTTTATCTGCCAAGCTTCAGGTTGACTAAGGAATTCTTCATTTCCCCATTGGTAGCAACAACACACATATAAGAATAGGAAACACATAGAGCACTTAATGTGCTGGGCACTATCCTAATGACTTACATAAACTCCTTGAACACTCTTCACACCATAGGAAATGAATGCTTTTATCTTCCTTTTACATTTGAGGCACAGAAAAGTTAGGCAACAGGCAGCAGGTAAGAGCTGAGATTTGAGCACAGGCAGTTTAGCTCCAGTCAATACTCATAACCTGTACCTGTGCTGTTTCCCATTTGTAACATCCAGTTCACAGAGATCAGTGAAAGCATGTGGCTCTTTTAATTTCAGAAAGCTGGACCGAGTAAAGGTATGGCTTCCACCAATGGGCAGACACCCCAGGTGGAAAAACCATTCTTCTCCCTAGAGAGAGGTTATTAAACTACAAGTTCCCACCCCTCCCTTTGTCAGCATTAAACCTTTGAGTAGATCTTTTAAATTCCAAAGTCTTCAATTTTTAATGTAAAAATAAGAATGTTAAGGTTTATTATTTTGGCCAGGCACAGTGGCTCACGCCTGTAATCCCAACACTTTGGGAGGCCAAGGCTGGCAGATCACGAGGTCAGGAGAGTGAGACCATCCTGGCTAACATGGTAAAACCCTGTCTCTACTAAAAATACAAAAAAAAAAAAAAAAAAAAAAAAAAACTTAGCCGGATGTGGTGGCAGGCGCCTGTAGTCCCAGCTACTCGGGAGGCTGAGGCAGGAGAATGTCGTGAACCCGGGAGGCGGAGCTTGCAGTGAGCCAAGATCACACTACTGCAATCCAGCCTGGGCGACAGAGCAAGACTCCATCTCAAAAAAAAAAAAAAAAGAATGTTAAGGTTTATTCTTTCAAAAAAAAATGGTTTCTCCTGTCTACCTCAGTAATAATTACTTAAAATAAATCCTTCATGTCACAACCTAATATGCACCAGACATTGTTGTTAGCTCTTGGCATGCAAAGACAAATGCGATGAAACCATTTCCCTGAGGGAATTCCAAATCTAGGATGGAGGTGCAGGATAGGAACCACATTTGCATACGAAGTGATAGGTTTATACTATAGGAGTTACCAAATTCTAGAGTAGTGGAGAGGAAGAAATGTGTCACATTTTTCTGGGGTGGGAAGAGAGGAAGGCAAAGTCAGAAAAATATTCCAGAAAAAGTGATTCTGGAAATGAGGCTTGAAAGATCAGGACACATATGATGGGAAAACAAAATATGTAAAAGCATGAAGATACAAATTAAAACAATATATTCTAATTTTAAAGCACTTCTAAAA
Organism: Homo sapiens; assembly: GCF_000001405.40. Lineage (NCBI taxonomy): Eukaryota > Metazoa > Chordata > Mammalia > Primates > Hominidae > Homo > Homo sapiens. The sequence continues at coordinate 101,865,915 of NC_000009.12, read as the reverse complement.
TGTAGAAGACCATCCCGAGCAGTTAGTGGGAAAGGAGATTGAATCATATAGAGAGCTCTAAGGGTGGGGACTGAATGACACAACAGAGCATTTTATAAATTCCAAAGCACTATGTAAATAGACAATATTATATAAGATGACAATTCAGAAGGACAGGAGTCATTACTAACAGCCCAACGTTTTCCAGAGTTGAAGAATATCCGCACATTCAATTTTTATTTGTCAATTACACCTCACTAAAGCCGGGAAGAAGAAAGAGAATGCCAGCACATGCACAGCTCTGGACTATCTTAGAATGCAATAGTCCTTTAAACGTGACAAAAGCTCTCAAAAGTTTATTCCTGGGGTGCAACTCCAGAGTCACGTGAGATGATGAAACCATGACTCCTTACTCCTCAGCCAAAATTTCAAATGAAACACTGTTTTTCACTCTAGTTCATCTAGCTAGAGAAGCCAAGCCTGTGTTCTGACAGAAGGTTAGAGAAATCTAAGAGGCCTAAAGGATCCTAAATAAAGATCTTTTAACCATCCTCTTTTGGGAAGACGTGGTGCCTGAGACAGGGAACAGGAATGATTCAGATAATTGCTTCAATTTTCTATTTCACTTTGCTTTTGTCAATCAGGCCAAAAATGATCAGCAGGATAATATATTTAAGGTCTACTGAAAACACATTTATTCTCCCTTTCCTCATATACTCACCATTTCATTTTTTGACAATTTCAGTGAAATAATAGGAATATGCATTGTCTGGAGAAACTGCACTGGCATAAGTTCATGCAATTTTCAGTGGGGCATAGGTAGTAGGAAGACAGCTGTTGCCTGTTTAGGCAAACGTGTATGTTTTTAAAAGGAAATTGTGTATAAATTGACCAAAATGATGGCTTTCCTAAATAATTGAGATAATTGACACAATTCTCCTTTTTACTTTTTTGGTATAAGTGGGAGTATTGTGGTCCTTAAAGATGCTATTATACTTCTCTGACATTCATGTGTTAAAGGGAGCTGTTGGTAAATGTACAAAATTTAGAGGGATTTGCAAGCAGATTAATAAAACATTAATAAAATAATGCATCTATAGATGGCTTGTTACATGTACAATCGATATTACACTAGATAAAATATCAAAAGCAAAAAATAAATTTGTGGGACAGGACAGGCACCTGTTAGGTTTTGGATGGTCCTATGTTGTACCAACTTCGAATTAAATTAGGGATAAATGTGTAATACATTTGCAATTATAACTCATATTTCAACTTGAATACATAGAAATATGAAATTTTTAACTAATTCATTGTTTATCTAAGGCCCCAACCGTAGTGAAAATAACAATGGTAATTATGACTTTTATTCCTATTCATTTTAAACTTTAAAATGGCTAACAATATGAATAGTCTCTTTGGGTAACTTTCAGTATTTTCTAAATAAAGTGTGTCTAATCTCTTGCTAGCTTTTATTTCCCAGTTACTCTTCCCAAGATAGTATCAGGTATTTAGGGAAAAGCTACAATATGACAAGGCTGCCAGGGTTGGGGAGAGTGGCAAAGGGGACCCTTGACCTCTTGCTTGTCCTTGGGTTTGTACTGGCTCACACCTGACATGGACTTAACTTCTAGTGTTTGCAGCTGTTGGTATAACTCTTGACCTAGATTCTCTGAACTTGGTCAGGGCCTGGTTACCAATCACTGAATGGCTTAGCCTATGTCACTTTCATCTACCCAGCCAGTCTGCAAACCATGGCAGCATTTACTGCAGTGTTCCTCCACTCCCCTGTCATTCAAGCCCCATGCCAGGCCCACTGCCCCTCAACCTAGCATCAGTACCACACAAGAACATCGGAGGCCTTGCAGCCCATACCTGCACCCCACCAGTCCCCCATCTAACACCATTGTGCCCTTCACCCTATGTTACTCTCAGCTATCTAAAACACTTCCCCGATGCCTGAGTCTTAACCTGAGAAAAAGGAAATCAGGAGACCTCTCTCTCCTAGTATCCATATTTTAAACACAATGGAAAGATTCTAAATAATGGCTAAAGAGAAAGAAAACCATTTTCCCATCACAGAAAAATGTTTCAGGACTCAGATATTCAGTCTTGACTCCACAGAGTGTCCCTTTCTCCCTTTCAAGAGCCAGGAGGCACTCAACCACTTTCATTTAATTTACTCAAATCATGCATGATGAGCACCGGAACAGGCCTGGCATCTCAGAGATGAAAAGCGGCCGGGCCATCAGAGGTTACTTCTCCCACAGAGAAGACAGAGGAGCAGACGCAGCCACAACACAGAGAGACCTGCTGTGATGGAGGAGGCACAGCACAAGCAGAAGCATAGAGGAGGACAAATAACCAGACTGGGACAGCCAGGGAAGGCTGCCCAGTGAACCAATACCACTCATGAGTCCTGAAAAAGAAACAGAACCTATCCAGGAAATGACAGCAAGAACATTTCATGGGAGGAAGCAGCACTGCAGCAGGACAGGGAGGTAGAAGAGAGTATGGCTGATTAGGAGAACTGCCAAGTTCTTTGGTATGACTTCCCTGCACATATTATACATTCATCGTTCCTTTTCCCTCCTGAGAAGCTTTGATTTTGACTTGATTTCCCACAGCTATGAACAAAGGTTTAAATGCAAAGCAGAAATGAACAGGGTCATGTGAAATGAAAACTTGTAGATGTATACCTTTTGCAGATGAAAGCAGAAACATTTTATAATATTATTTAAAAGAATATGATTTTGCTTCTGAAGACTTCAGGTTGCCTCTTGGTTTCAAATAGCAGAATAATTGGCTATTGTTGTTGGTTTCTTTTCTTTTTTTTTCTAAAAGAATTTCTTTTAATATTCTCCACCAATTACAGAGTAATGGGGAAGGTAAATCACACAGGAAAATTCCAGCATTCATAAATGTCATAGTTACAAGGCAGTCTACCTAAAAAATGTCTTGTTTAAACTAAAGAATGATTTGAAAAAAAATAGCATGGAATATTTTTGCCATAGTAGACTATCTGTCTTTGTTCCTACTTTTATATAAATGAGAATTCTTTAAAATGTGCACATTCCACATTTATTTAGACTACATAGAAATAAATAATATAAATAAAAAAGAATGATGCCAGCATAGAGGAGTAACCTGAGTGTAGCAGAGAAAGATGTTGAAAGGATGATCAAGCAGTGAAGGTTGAGTATATTCCTAAAGTAAAATCCCTAGGAAATTATGCTCATTGGAACTATTTTCTTTGGAATAATTGAAGTTTACCTCTAAATTTCAGAAGTACAAATGTTTATTTGGCTCACTGGAACTACCAAGATTATATATCTATTCACAGCAGTTGGGAGAAAATATTTAGAGGGAAAATGAACAAATTTTTTGAAACATATGTTAAATATTATTTTAATTAGTCAAGAGGGCCCACCATAAAAAGTGGCATGTAAAAATGTTAAATTTGAAATCCTGGGTTTCTCCCAACCTGCTTAAACTAATAAATATTTATCTCCCCAAGAAATTATTAGCATTTCTATGTTTTAGACAAAGAAAAAACAACTCCACCCTTTGTCCTTTGCCCTCAATATACTATAGTTAATCTGTTTCTTCAAACCAATGGATTTAACAGGCCATTCTTCAAGTTAAGATGTAATTAGATGTGGTTACTTCGGGACTTAAATCCATGAGACATCCCTTCTAACAGAATTTGTTTGGAGTGTGGAGGTGAGAAAGGAGGACATAGGGATTAAGCCAAGAGAGTGTGAAGTCAGAGTTGCACTTATTAAGCACTAGTGTAGTTACTTCAACACTATTACTGCAGAAATCTAGGCACAAAATAGACTCAGTTGTTCTTAAAGATTGGTAGGGCTGGTGTCAAGAGATCAGTTTACATGAAAGACTTAGGAGTCTCCCTCATCAGGCTTTATCCTCAAAATAAGGAGTTGCAATCATACCCAGGTTGGACCCAGGAGTTACGGGCCAGTGATGGAGCTTGAGTGAAGAAGGGAGAAGATTGTAAGCCCAAAGCAGTGTCCCAGAGACTTTCTGTACCAGCCTGATAGGCCAAAACATGAGTTCTGGGGATAGAGCAAAAAATGAAAGAGTCAGAAACACTATATTCTCTAAAACATTGAAAATAAAAAGGCAGTACTTATATGACTGTGCTAGATATTCTATTTGTTTGACAGAAACCTTGCAGAAGTCTCACTTGCATTGATAGCCTCAGCATGGCATCAGGACCCAATGTCTCACCAGCTGTCACTACTTTAGAAGTCTGGACACAGAACAGGAAACGAGAAAATGATAGACAATATATACCACGCTGCATGCCCAGTGATACCAGCTCTACCAAGAAGAACTTAAAGGGAAGGGAGTCTTGAACTGGGGTTGAAGTTGTAGTTGTTGTTGTAGAAAGATCCAGAGAAGTGCCATTTTTATTTCAAGACTATTATTATACACAGTTTTACTCTTTTACTCTCAGGCTGATGTGGGCTGAGAAATAAGAATCACACTGTAAGTTTCCTTCGGTGGCATTCAATCAGGTTTCAGAGATATGGATTTACCTGCTGTGTGGTCCCTTAACCCCTCAGCAGTTCACTGTCTCCTTGCCTTATGTTGAACTGATTCCCAGAAAACAATATGAAAAATCAGAGGACTAATTAACTTTCCAGTTCCTTCTGCATGAAAAATATGTAAGTTCCAAATATACCATTTGACTGAGACATTAGAAACCATAGTGCACTCAAGGGAGGTGACTCTACTCTAAGGTATTTCACTTCTCTTGATATCAGAAGACCCAAGTTCCTCTTTCTGCTATGTTGTACTCTACCCAACAGAAAATAGACTGGGAAGCACCTTTGCGGGCAATGAAGAAAAGACACTGAAGAGGAATAAAGAGGCAGCTGTTGAGTTCACACCTAACCTTAGGCTTAGCTTTTGCCTTCATGCCCAGAGTTGATGATCTCCTAGTCACATTGACCTTAATTTTGGCATCTCTAGTCCTCCATGATTTTGACTTTTTCTTAAGGATGTAACAGGGCATTTGGGGATGACTGAAATGCGATCAAGATACCATCAGAGTGTGTATCATTTCTTACTAAGGTGTATGGGAAATGTTTGCTGTGTAACTGGGGAATGGAGGAGTTTGGGCCACAGGCAAGCACTGAGCAGAGAATAGTAAGGACACCAGCAAGTTCCCATCTGGCTCCCAGGCCTGTGTTTGAGATCTGTTGTTAAAGGGATGAAGGACTGAAAGTCACGAGCCTGTCTTCATGAGATTTTGATCAACAGGGCTGGCCAGAATCTGATTCCTTCACTCAAAGGAGATTTTTGGTACAAGAAGAGATGCTTTCAGGACACTGGTAACAAAGTGGATTTATAGTTAAGGAGTAGGTCTTTCTCCTTCATCAGTTTTCTTGGAACTCAACAAGTCTGATCCCTTGAATACTGGAAATCTTAACGGCCTTAACAAGACCATTGGAGATTTCAGGGGAGACAATGGCCACATTGTGGGTCCTCTGAGCCAACTGACTTAGTGGGTGACAGTTGAGGGGAAAGGGGATCCTGAGCTGGAGGAGCCAAACAACATGTTTGCTGGGTGGAGGTCACTGCAGCTGACACATTACAGGCACAGATAAGTCTACCTTTACAAACTCTCAGAAATAACTTCTATCAGAATGTAAATTCCATGTGGGCAAGAACTTGCGTTTTGTTCGCTACTCAGTCTCCTGTGTCTGGCATTTGGTGGATGCTCAATAAATATTTGTGGAATAAAATCAGGATGTTTTTATGGAGGCTGATTCCCAACAATTCATTCAATGAGGACTTGAGCTAGTATAATTTGATCTTTAAAATATCTGTGACATAACTTTGTAGGCACAAATAAATGGGTTATATCTATTTTAAAGGCAGACCAATTTGGTTTGTCTTGCTCTTTAAAAGTGGCTTTTCTGTTTTCAGCAGGGATGAGGGAGAGGGAGACAGTTGGGTTGAAGGGTGGATATGATTTCTGCAGTGGTAAATCCAGTGGGTCTGTGTAGTGGTTCTGTTTTTGCATGTAGAAGGATGCTGCTGCTTCCCTGGCTCTGCTAGCCTCATTGATCAGATAAAGAATGACTGTGGCAGCCTGGGGGCCTTCAGAATTCAGCTCTCTTTTGTGCAATACTCAAATACCAAGACTGGGTGACTGCAGCAGTGCCCAAAGGTTCCCTTGAATCAAAAGCTTCCTAACACCAATCTGTACCTACCTCCAGCATAAGGTGCCTGTTTAAAATGCGAATATATTACCTTGGGGGTAGTGCGTAACATATTAATCCGTTATAAGCTATTAATACTACAGCACACATTAGTTTATCAGTCAGTCACTGGAGCAGGCATTGCCTCAGGGAATAGCACATAGAACAGATTTGTTCATTTTTCCCATCTTAAATTATGATTTATTGTTGAAACAAAATATTGCTGCAGCAATAAAGAAATCTAAAACAAGGACAAAATACCCCCAAACCCCACCCATCCACCCACCCCCGCCCAACAGTCCTACTGCAGTAACATGTTTTATTTGTCTGGGTTTCTTTTTAGCTCCTATCCAAATTCAGAACCAGCTCAACCAACGTCAATGTTTTTCCTTTTTTTCTGAATAATAATGGCTAACATTTCTTAAGCGTTTAAGCGCTTATTATGTGTGCCAGACTGTCCCAGAAACTCTTAAACAAATTAAATCATAACACTTTAACAACAGCTCATGTAGCAGTTACTGTTTTTATCCTTATTTTAAAGACAAGGTGATAGAGACCCAGAGAAGTTAAGTAACTTGCTAAAACCAGAAAATGACTGATTCGAATCCAAGCATTTAGCTCCAACTTTCATGCTTTTAACCCCTGACTCAAACGTCCCAGTTACCAGTAAGGAAACTGAGGCATCCTCAGTTAATTACCTTGTCCAAAGATCCATGAATAATATGTGCCCGGACCAGAGTTTAAGCAGGCTGCCTGGGTCCTAAGCCCACCCTCTTGACTGCACTGTATAGAAGATAGGCATGTTATTCCAGTTGATACGCACATTCTCAGAATAAGGTTGATAGCATTATGACCATTTTGCAATTCTGAGGTTGAAGAGAACTGATTAATTTGCTCATGTGCAAATCATAAATGATAAATACAGATTACAAATCCAGATATTCTGTCTCTAAGTTTGGTACTCGTTTGTTTATAATCTTTTTCATTTGTCTCTATTAACATTCCATTTTTTTCAATATAGTTTAAACAAAACATACAATGTGTAGTTTTCTACTTTATGCATTTAATATAATTCACAAATACCTTCCTTTGTTACTAGGTAGTTTTTTATAATTATCATTATATTGGCAGCCCAATAGTACCCTTGCATGATAAATCATAATGTACTTATACATTCTGTTGTATTTTTTGTTTTCTTTTAGAATATTTTCTGCTATTATAAATAATGTCACAGTAAAGATATCTGTCCAATGTTGTTTTTCTTTTAAAACATTTCTTCAGGGATGATTATTTATAGCATCACTCATTTTGTTGGTTTTCCAACAATGATTTGACCTCATACAGAAAGCATCATCTCCTTATGGGCAGCAACATCAAGAGCAACAGACCTTCCCCAGCAGCCCCTACACGTGAGCTGCCTACAGAGACTTGAAGCTTTCTGTTCTGTGACAGCTTCAGAGGCATTCGGCAAATCGAGCTGTGCTATCCACTTGCCAGCAGAGTGCTCCTTAGCTGGAACATGGTCTTCTGCCTTCTGTTGGTTCTTTCTTATGGCTGCTGCATGCAGAGACCCACGCCTGAGTCTCAAAAATCGTTGTCAAGGTTGAGCTTTACATTTTTGCCATCTTTGTGGGAACAGGAATGTATTTATTTAAGTACCCCTGACACCTGCCCAACCCCCTGACACCTACCTGCACTGTGCCTTCCCAGTTAGGCTTAAGACCACAGATGCCCAGTAATGAGGTGAGCATCTCTCTTAGTATTGTTACCAAGATAAAGTAAATGCTTACAACTGTTGCCCAACTAATTATTGGCATCTGTGGTTGTCTAGAATATAAATCCCTTGAGAGCAGGAACTATCTTTGTTGGGTCTCAGTCTGTGCTCTATACTCAGCTGCTGAGGCTCAAATTTTAATTAATTTCTTCATATATTAAAGTGATGGGTGTGCCTTATGCTTTGTAGCCAGTTCAGTCAAACAACTATTTTCACTAAAATGAAAGATTGATGGTTATGAGGGAGAGTTTGTGTAGTTTAGATTCCATCATAGAAGTAATTTATTTATGCTAATTATCATGTCTCGTTCCATAACATTTTCACTGAGTGAAATATTGATTTTTAAAAATAAAAGTCACCTTGAAAAAGTGATGGCTAACATATTAAGAGTTGATAAAATAATTATTTTTAATTAATCTAATCTTACTACATAAATAGATTTGAGAAAGAAATTTTGCAAAGGTTTTTTATAAACTCTTCTCAGGTTTTCTTTTTTTTTCAGAAAGCAATCTGACTTGGAAATAATATAAGGTTACATAATGTCTTCTTTCAAAATAAATTATTTAGTTAAAAAAATTGGAGTTAAAGTATGGATATTCCCCTATCTTGGCTACAATCAGGAACTGTCCTTTACTACATGCAAAATATGAGCAATGCTCTTAAGAAAACCTGTATCTTAGGGCCATATTTGTCATTGCCACTTTGAACAGTTTCAATATTTAATTATGAACTTTAAATTTGCTTATCTCACAATTGTATTCTACTCAGCAGCTGAATATGGGCTATAACCAGCTGGAAGGTAAGAAATAGAAACATACTGTGACAGTTCTAAAGATAAAAACATCAATGTTTATGGTCAATAAGGAAAGTAAGTTACAAGCTATTAAAATTACTGTTAGGTCATTTTCTGAGTTCTACAATTTTTATAATCTATAGAACAAGATTAATAAATAATGTGTTATGATATAAATTTAAAATTTGATTTTATAGAGAATAGAAAAAAAGAAGAGTCAA